>NT_187608.1:0-232857 GCF_000001405.40 Homo sapiens
CAAGTGTGGGAAGAGCTATAAAAGGAAGAAACAGGCCTGGCGCGGTGGCTCACGCCTGTAATCCCAGCACTTTGGGAGGCTAAGGCTGGCAGATCATGAGGTCAGGAGATGGAGACCACCCTGGCCAACATGGTGAAACCCCGTCTCTATTAAAAATACAAAAATTAGCTGGGTGTGGTGGTATGTGCCTGTAATCCCAGCAACTCGGGAGGCTGAGGCAGGAGAATCGCTTGAACCCAAGAGGCAGAGATTGCAGTGAGCCGAGATCACGCCATTGCACTCCAGCCTGGCGACAGAACAAGACTTCATTTCAAAAAAAAAAAAGGAAGAAACAAGGGCTCAGACACGTGACAAAGTGACAGAGGGAGGGTTATGGGGTGGGGGAGGCTTATCTTGGGGTAACTTGTAAGCTGAGGTCTGAAGGATGAATAGAAACGTCCTCTATCGGCTGGTCATGGGATTGCACACCTGTAACCCGGGAGCTCCGGGAGGCCCAGGCAGGAGGACTGCTTGAGTCCAGGAGTTCAAGACCAGCCTGGGCAATATAGCAAGATCCCATCTCTACTAAATTAAAAAAAAAATTTTTTTTAAAGAAACCTCTTCTATCCCGTCACTTCTGTAATCACTTCACGAGAATTACAGAAATATAACCCAAAAATATTTTCCCCAGTCACTCAGGAAGTTATTGGGTCCTCTTCTCCTGCCCCTCTTTTTTTTTTTTTTTTTTATCACTGAAGCAGGGAATCTGGCTAATTTTTTTAATAAGACCTTTGGTGAGGCCGGGTGCAGTGGCTCACACCTGTAATCCCAGCACTTTGGGAGGCCGAGGTGGGCGCATCACGAGGTCAGGAGATCGAGACCATCCTGGCTAACACGGTGAAACCCCGTCTCTACTAAAAATACAAAAAATTAGCCAGACATTGTGGCAGGCACCTGTAGTCCCAGCGACTCGGGAGGCTGAGGCTGAGGCAGGAGAATGTCCACCAACCTGGGAGGTGGAGCTTGTAGTGAGCCGAGATTGTGCCACTGCACTCCAGCCTGGGCGACAGAGCAAGATACCGTCTCAAAAAAAAAAAAAAAAAAAGAAAAAAAAAGACCTTTATTGAGATATAATCCATATAATTCACCACTTTACAATTACACCACAGTAGATGATTCAGTTGTTTTTAAATATCCACAGATCTGTGCATCTATAACTGCAATTTTGGAATATTTTCTTTTTCTTTTTTTTTCAAGACGGAGTCTCACTCTGTCACCCAGGCTGGAGTGCAGTGGCATGATCTCGGCTCACTGCAACCTCTGTCTCCCGGGTTCAAGCGATTCTCCCGCCTCAGCCTCCCAAGTAGCTGGGACTATAGGTGAGCACCACCGGGCCCAGCTAGATTTTTTTGTATTTTTAGTAGAGACGGAGTTTCATCACGTTGGCCAGGCTGGTCTCGAACCCCTAACCTCAAGTGATCCACGTGCCTTGGCCTCCTAAAAGTGCTTGGATTACAGGCATGAGCCACTGCAACTGACCAATTTTGGAATATTTTCATTAACCCAAAAAGAAACTCCACTTAGCAGTCACTCCCCGATGCTCACCACCACCCCAGGCCCCAGGCAACCCCTAAGCTACCCTATCTTTTTATTTATTTATTTTTAGAGACAGAGTCTCACTGTGTTGCCCAGGCTGGAGTTCAGTGGTTTGATCATAGCTCACTGTAGCCTCTACCTCTCAGGGTCAAGCAGTCCTCTCCTCTCAGTCTCCCGTGGAGCTGGGACTACAGGTGGGCGCCACCACACTCAGCTAACTTTATTTTTTTTTAGAGATAGGGGTCTCACTCTGTTGCCCAGGCTGGTCTTGAACTGCTGGTCTTGAACTCCTGGTCTCAAGTGATCCTCCTGCCCCAGCTTTCCAAACTGCTCATGCCTGTAGACGTAAGCCACTGCCCCTGGCCCTTAATCTACTTCCAGTCTCTATGGATTTGCCTATTCTGGAAATTTCATATGAACAGAAACACACAACATGCGTCCTGTGTGTCTGGCTTGTCACTGGGCATAATGCTTTCAAGGGTCATCCATGTTGTAGTATGTATTGGTGCTTCGTTTTTTTGTTTTGTTTTGTTTTGTTTTGAGACGGAGTCTCACTCTATCTCCCAGGCTGGAGTGCAGTGGAACGATCTCGGCTCATTGCAACCTCCGCATCCCAGGTTCAAGCAATTCTCCTGCCTTAGCCTCCCAAGTAGCTGGGTCTGCAGGCATGTGCCAACATGCCTGGCTAATTTTTTTAGAGACAGGGTTTCACCGTGTTAGCCAGGATGGTCTCGATCTTCTGACCTCGTGATCCACTGGCCTCGGCCTCCCAAAGTGCTGGGACTACAGGCGTGAGCCACTGCGCCCAGCTGCTTCGTTCCTTTTTATGGCTGAATCATATTCCACTGTTTGGAGAGACCACAGTTGATTTATCCATTCATCAGGTGAGGGACACATGGTTGCTTTCACTTTTTGGCTCTTATGAATAACACTGCTCTGAACATTCCCATGCAAATTTTTGTGCAGATATGTTCCCATTCCTCTTAGATATACACGATATATACCTAGGAGGGGCACTGCTGCGTCATATGGTCACTCCATGTTTAACATTTTTTTTTTTTTTTTGAGATGGAGTCTCACTCTGTCACCCTGGCTGGAGTGCAGTGGCCTGATTTCAGCTCACTGCAACCTCCACCTCCCAGATTCAAAGGATTCTCCTGCCTTAGTCTCCTGAGTAGCTGGGACTACAGGTGCCTGCTACCACACCCAGCTAATTTTTTTTTTTTTTTTTTTTACATCAAGACAGGGTTTCGCCATGTTGTCCAGGCTGGTCTCCAACTCCTGACCTCAAGTGATCTGCCTGCCTCAGCTTCCTAAAGTGCTGGGATTACAGGCCTGAGCCACTGTACCCGGCCTCCATGTTTAACCTTTCAAGGAACCAGACTGTTTGAAAGGGGCTGCAGACTCCCAGCAGCACCACACTCTGCCCAGATTCACTGAGACCCCTTCGCATGACCCCCAGTTCACACTACTCAGAGAAGCACCTTAAAATTAGCTGGCCTAAAGGCCAGGCGTGATGGCTCATGCCTGTAATCCCAGCAGTTTGGGAGGCCGAGGCAGGTGGATCATGAGGTCAGGAGAGTGAGACCATCCTGGCTAACACGGTGAAACCCTGTCTCTACTAAAAAAATACAAAAAAATTAGCCGGGCGTGGTGGCAGGCACCTGTAGTCCAGCTACTCCGGAGGCTGAGGCAGGAGAATCGCTTGAACGTGGGAGGTGGAGGTTGCAGTGAACCGAGATCACACCATTGCACTCCAGCCTGGGCGACAGAGTGAGACTCCATCTCAAAAAAAAAAAAAAAAGAAGTATCAGAACCAAGAGAGGATGGCAGCAGGGGATGGCAAGGCGCTCAGTGGTGAAAGCGTCAGGACTTGAACCCCACCGCCACTACTTTGCAGCTTTGCATTTTTGCATGAACCACGCGGCTTCTCCAAGCCTCCCTCTCTTCATCCACAAAACAGGCCTGATTGTGACAATCTACTCAATAGGGTGATTTTGAAGATTAAACATAGTAATACAAAACAAGTTATTCTGTTTGCCAAAGACATTACAGATGAGGTCATGTAGCCAATACCATGCCAGGAAACCAAAACTCACCTCAAGAAATCTGTTGGGTGGGACGGGCATGGTGGCTTATTCCTGTAATCCCATCACTTTGGGAGGCCGAGGCAGGTGGATCACGAGGTCAGGAGTTTGAGACCAGCCTGGCCAACATGGCGAAACCCCCGTCTCTACTAAAAATACAAAAAAATTAGCCAGCCGGGCGTGGTGGCATGCGCCTGTAATCCCACCTACTCGGGAGGTTGAGGCAGAAGAACTGCTTTAACCCAGGAGGCAGGGGTTGCCATGACCCAAGATTGCGCTAATGTACTCCAGCCTGGATGACAGAGTGAGACTCCGTCTTGGGGGGGAAAAAAGAAAAGAAATCTGTTGGGTAGCCAGGGCATGGTGGCTCATGCCTGTAATCCCAGCACTTTGGGAGGCCAAGGCGGGAGGATCACTTGGGGCCAGGAGTTTGAGACCAGCCTGGGAAACACAGTGAGACCCTGTCTTTACTAAATATAAATGTAAAAAAAAATAGCTGAGCATGGTGGTGTGCACCTATAATCCTAGCTACTTGGGAAGCTGAGGTGGGAGGCTTGCTATAACCCCAAAGGCTGAGGCTGCAATGAGCTGAGATCACACCACTGCACTCCAGCCTGGGCGACAGAGTGAGACCCTATCTCAGGAGAAACAAAGAAAAAGAAATCTGTCTTGTCCTAAGGCTGACAGGGGCAAAACCAGGATCTGAATCACGTGATTCCCGACAGGGCTTTGGCCAGCGCTGTGTGAATACTCACACAGATGGGGGATGCTGGGCAGCTTCAGCTCAGAAGGAACACTGAGTGAGGGACAGATGGACTGGTCCGGCAGGGGACCCGCCCATTCAGCAGATGTCCCTGGGCACAGCTCACATGTCAGTTCTCTGCAAAGCGGACAGGCGGCTGAGAAGTGTCAGAGCCTGCTAATGAGGGCTGGGCAAGAGAGAAGCAGAAGCGAACTTGCCTGGGTCGGGGGAAGGGGATGGTGCAAAGCAACCCTGAGGCCGAAAGCCTGTGTAGCTAGAACCAACGGGGGTGGGGGCGGGCGCTCAGGGCTCAGGGCTCAGGAAAATGAGGTGGCTCTCCTAGTTTTACCAGGGAAAGGAAAACAAGGCAGGAATTTCCGGCAGGGAAACCTGGCTACTCGGTGGGACTCTTAAAGATGACACTTTTTCCTCTATCCTCGAGTGCAGCCTCAAGACGGGCCCTGCTGGTCCATCCTGGGGCGACAGGTGTAGCCAGATTCCCCTCCAATCAAGGAGTCCAACTGGAAAGCTCCAGTGGGTTACCCAAGGGCAGATACCAAGCAAGTCCCTAAAAATGGAGGCCAGTGTGCCCTGGAGGGCAAGTATAAATATGGGGAACTCTGAGCCGGGCGCAGGAGCTCACACCTGTAATCCCAGCACTTTGGGAGGCAGAGGGCCGATCATCTGAGGAGTTCGAGACCAGCCTGGGCAACGTGGTGAAATCGTCTCAACTAAAAATACAAAATTAGTTTGGTGTGGTGGTGGGCGCTTGTGATCCCAGCTTCTCGGGAGGCTAGGGTGGAAGAATCACTTGAACCCGGGAGGCAGAGGTTGCAGTGAGCTGAGATTGTGCCATTGCATTCCAGACTGGGCAAACAAAGAGTGAAATTCCGTCACGAAAAAAATAATAATAAAAAATATGTGGGGAACTCTTAAGTAGAGATGGGGGTTCCCCTCACTTTTGCCTCTTCCACGGAGTTAAAGTGTCAAGGAAAGGGGTTCCCAGGATAAAACTTTCAGGAGTATTCGGTTTTAGGGGCTACAGGCAGAGGCGCAGGACCCTAGAGGGATTTTTTTTTTAGCTGGAGTCTCACTCTGTCGCCAAGGCTGGAGTGCAGTGGTGCGATCTCAGCTCACTGCAAGTTCTGCCTCCCGGGTTCATGCCATTCTCCTGCCTCAGCCTCCCGAGTAGCTGGGGCTACAGGCGCCCGCCACCACGTTCAGCTAATTTTTTTGTATTTTTAGTAGAGACAGGGTTTCACCGTGGTCTCGATCTCCTGACCTCGTGATCCACCCGCCTCGGCCTCCCAAAGTGCTGGGATTACAGGCGCGAGCCACCGCACCCGGCTGCTAAAGGGATTTAGGAGGTGGGTGGAACCACAAAGGAAAAGCTAGCTGCTGGTGGGGTCTCAGCTTGGAAGACGTCAGGGTGTGAACTGTCACTTAAGGAACAGTTTAGGATAGAGCAAGGGATGAGGAAGCCCACCTGGAGTTCGGCAGGAGTGGGTGACCTCAGGTAGCCCCCTCTTTTGAGAAACCTGGCCGGGAAGGTTGGAGACATGGCTGTGGCTTGAGGCTAGTGTTTTTTTCTTTTTGGGGACGGAGTTTCACTCTTGTTGCCCAGGCTGGAGTGCAATAGCACGGTCTCGGCTCACTGCAACTTCTACCTACCAGGTTCAAGGGATTCTCCTGCCTCAGCCTCCCAAGTAGCTGGAATTACAGGCGCCTGCCATCATGCCCAGCAAATTTTTGTATTTTTAGTAGAGAAGGGGTTTCACCATGTTGGCCAGGCTGGTCATTACAGGCCTGAGCCACCTCGCCGGGCAAGACTAGTGTTTGATTGTTCGTTTTGAGATGGAATCTTGCTCTGTCAGCTCACTGCAACATCTGCCTTCCAAGTTCAAGCGATTCTCTTGCTTCAGCCTCCAGAGTAGCTGGGACTACAGCCATGTGCCATCACGCCCCGCTAATAGAGATAGGGTCTTACCATGTTGCCCATGCTGGTCTTGAACTCCTGGGCTTAGGAGATCCTCCCACCTCGGCCTCCCAAAGTGCTGAAATTACAAGTGTGAGCCACTGTGCCCGTCCTGGAGTCAAAGGCTTTGGACTTGAATGCCATCTCTGCTACTTTAGAGCTGTGTGTGCATGTACTTTTAACTTCTCTCTGTCTCCCTCTCAAAATGGGCCCGATAGTAGGTTCCATTTTGGTCTGGTCCCACCAGGACCTCTGACTCGCTGGCGACCTCAGGTAGGGGCTCATGTAATAGCCCAGCTCCTCAAACACGGAGGATGGGTCCCACTCCTGACCCAGCCTCATTTTACAGCAGAGCGTGAAGGCCGAGACTAGAGGCTGCACCAGGCTGGGGAAGGGGCAAATTCTAGATTACTCACCAGGCCCGTACCCATGAGAGCCCTCAGGCCTGCAGCACCGTGGATCCAGAGGCAGAGACAGAGCTTTGTAGAAGGGTGAAAACACTTCCTCCCCGCTTCCGGCTGCAGAAAAGCCACTTTCTCGCGGCAGAGCCCAGACTGGCAACCCCCAGGCCTTCTGCACCTCACCTGGGCAGCAGGCACGCTGACTGTGTGTGTTTCAATCTCTCCAGGCTCAGAGGGATGGCGGGGGATGCTGCCTGCGCGGTTGCTAGTGGCGGACACAGCTGCCTGGCTGACACTGCCTTTGTCATGCTCCAGAGCACTCAGCCAGCCCGGGGCCCCTCACCCACTCCCTCTCTCCTCCTGCCACCAGAAGCAGCCTCTTCCCGGCTCCCACCCTTTCTCCCCGAAGCCACTTGTACCTGCTCCAGAGCCTGGAGAGGTGACAAGTGCTTCCCAGACAACAAAAGCATCTCCCAGGAGAACAGATGTTACGCACACTCAGCTACACCCTTGCTCTGTGCCCTGATTTTAAGCTGTGTTTGGGCAGCTCTTTGGGATGAAACTGAGGCAAGGGGTAAAGGGCCTGTCTTGGTCAAGGTCATCCCACCTTGGGACTCCTGGGTGTGTTTCAGACATCCGTCCCCTTGGGTTCCAATGCTGGTCTGGCCACTTACAAGCTGTGTGACCTTGGGCAAGTTATTTGACCTCCCAGAGCCTAATTTCCCCCCAGATAACGACAGATAGGTAGTGAACCCACCTCTTGCTAAAAAATGTGAGCCATTATTGTCATTACTCCATCCTTTTAATTCCTCTTTCTCTCCACTCCAGCCACATCCGCCTCAATGCCTGCTGCCCCTGGACCTTAGGCTTGGGATGTGAAATCTTTCTGGAATGTTCCTTCGTTAGTTCCTCGCATGGCTTGTTCCCTCGCTTCCCTCTTTTGAGTCTTGACTCAAGTCACCTCCCCAGGGAGGCCCTGTCCTGCCCTGTCCTCCCTGGGCGCTTATGTGACATCCGAGGCGGTTTCCCAATTCGACTACCTGTGGCTCTTGCGCCTGGAACGTAAGCCCCACGAGGACAGGACTGTTTCACTTCTGACTCCCGTGTCCGCAGCGATGGAAAGAATGACTGTGGGCGCCTACCCCCGGAGGATGCTGTCGGCGCCCAGTCTGGCGGCTCCCGGCGCGCGCCCGCGAGGTCACGTCCGGGGCGCGCCGGCCGGAAGGAGGCCCCGCGTGGGGGTAGGGGCGGGGCGTCCGAGCCAGGCCACGCCCCCCGGACTCGCGCCCCCCTCTCAGCGGCAGAGCCAGCCAGCCTGGGGCCGCCTCGCACTTCCGCTCACCAGCCGGCTTGTTCATATTCATGAGGCGGGCGAGAGGCGGGGCCCGGGTCACCGGCGGCGCCCCGCCCCTGGCTTGGAATCCCGCCCCGGCGGAGGCTTGGGCCCCAGTGGGGCGCCCCCAGCTTCCGCCTCGGGGAGGGAGTTTCCACTTGGTCACGACTCAAAAATGTGTCGCTCGCGCTTCTCCGCCCCCTCGTTCCTGCCCTGGGGGGGTCTCCTCCCTCGGAAGGCAGGAGGGGAGGGGCCAAGGGAGGGACGGCTCCTCCTCCCCGGGGCAGGTCCTTAGGGATCCCGGGCGGACTCCTCTCCCTCCAAGTTAGCGCCTTCAACAATCTTTCCCCTACCCCGTCAGACAGTCTTCTGTCGCCCAGAGCTGGAGTGCAATGGCGCGATCTCGGCTCACTGCAAGCTCCGCCTCTCAGGTTCAAGCGATTCTCCTCCTTCAGCCTCCCGAGTAGCTGGGATTGCAGGTGCGCGCCAACACGCCTGGCTAATTTTTGTATTTTTAGTAGAGATGTGGTTTCACCATGGTGGCCAGGCTGGTTTTGAACTCCTGACTTCGTGATCTGCCCGCCTCGGCCTCCCAAAGTGCTGGGATTACAGGCGTCAGACGGCGCACCCAGCCCTGCAATAATCTTAAATTTTTTTTTTTTTTTGAGTTGGAATCTCGCTCTGTTGCCCAGGCTGGAGTGCAATGGCGTGATCTGGGCTCATCGCAACCTCTGCCTCCCGGGTTCAAGCGATTCGCCCACCTCAGCCTCCCAAAGTGCTGGGATTACAGGCCTGAGCCACTGTGACCGGCCTTTTTTTTTTTTTTTTTTTTTTTGAGACTGGGTCTCACTCCGTCCCCCAGGCTGGAGTTCAGTGGCACAATCGGCTCACTGCAGCCTCCACCTCCTGGGTTCAAGCAATCTTCCCGCCTCAGCTGTCCAAGTAGCTGTGACTACAGTCATGCACCACCACAACTAGCTAATTTTTTAATTTTTTGTAGAGATGGGGCAGGGTCTTAGTATGTTGCCCAGGCTGTTCTCGAACTCCTGGGCTCAAGCAATCCTCCTGCCTCGGCCTCCCAAAGTGCTGGAACTACAGGCGTGAGCTACTGTGCCCAACCAAAACTACCTTTTTTACTTTTTATTTATTTATTTTGCGATGGCGTCTCGCTCTGTCACCCAGGCTGGAGTGCAGTGGTGCAATCTCAGCTCACTGCAACCTCTGCCTCCTGGTTTCAAGCGATTCTCGTGCCTCAGCCTCCTGAGTAGCTGGGATTACAGGCGTGTGCCACCATGTCCAGCTAATTTTTGTATTTTCAGTAGACACCGTGTCTCACTATGTTGACCAGGCTGGTCTTGAACTCCTGACCCCAAGAGATCCACCTGCCTTGGCCTCCCAAAGTGCTGTGATTACAGGGATGAGCCACCAGGCCCAGCCCAAAACTACCTCTTTTAAACTTCCCAAGGATCTGTGCAATATTATGATACCGAGAAGTTCAGAGCAGTTGAGTGACTCACCCACGTCACACAGCCGGCCTCAGGTTTTCCAGAAAGGTTGGTCCTGCTGGGTTGGGGTGGCAGGTGCATGTCTCCCACGGCCTTTCAGGAAATGAGGCTTACCTAAGGCACTCCTGTCTTGCTGGATGTGGCTGAAGGTTGGGTCTGTGCGCCACACTGATGGGAGGGAGAAGCTACATGCTAGGAGAAACGAAACCATGAAGGCAGGACAGGCTGCGTAATGTAAAATGAAAATTCGCGGGCCATGTTCTAAAATGATTAAGAATTTCAAGACGGTGACAGCAGAACATTCAGCCACACTCAGGCCCTTCTAAGGGCCAGCCCTGTGCAACTGCATAGCTCACATGGCTTCCATGAAGCAAGCCTCTGATGAAGGAGCCCAAGGGTGACAGCGCTGCCACCAGGGACATCCCCACCTCTGATAGAACTCTCCCCCCTAGCCCAGGCGCCCCATCCCGTCCCCGCCCTGGAATGCAGGACCCAGTCTCTAGACTTCCAAAAGCTGAGCATTTTAGGCTTTGCAGGACAGGTTCTTGGGGAGTCAGGTGGGTCACCCTGGGAGTGTCTCACATCTGCAAGTCCCAGCCAGGCCCCTGGGGCTGCACCTCCTGGGCATTTTCAGCTCTGGGCCCTGCGGGCAGGTGGCGCTGTGTTGTACATGCCAGGCCCAGCATGGCTTCGGTTCTGACTTGAAGCCCTCCTTTCTCCCTGGGGCAGGGAATGAGAAGCAGCCAGGGCCGCTTCCTAGAATAAACACCCCACCCGCAGACAGCCCCAGCTCTGTAGGCTCAGCCAGCCAGCGCCAATGGAGAGAGAGGCTCGCCAGGCCACCGGCTCAGGGTTGATAAGTCATCCTGATCTCACTCCCTCCATCACTCCTGCCTTGTGACTGGGCTCTGCCCGCTGTGGGCTGCTTCATTCATAATAGCTACCATTTGCGGGCTCTTTCTCCCAGCCACGTGCTGCTGGAAGCCCTTTCTGTGCACTTCCCACTGAGCCTCACAGAGGCCAGTGGTAATAGGTACCCTGAGGACTGCGATTTCATAGATGGGGAAACCGAGGCTCAGAGAGGTTAGAGGGCTTGGCCAAGGTCAAGGGCCAGAGGTCTGGATCTGCCACCATTCATCCATTCTGATTCCTGTCATCTCTCCTACATCTACAATGTAGGTCTCAAGGGTTACTTCTTTTGTTTTTTTGTTTTTTTTGGTTTTTTAGAGATAGGGTCTAAGGGCCAGGCGCGGTGCCTCATGCCTGTAATCCCAGCACTTTGGGAGGCTGAGGTGGGTGGATCACCTGAGGTCGGGAGTTAGAGACCAGCATGGCCAACATGGCAAAACCCCATCCGTATTAAAAATACAAAAATTAGGCGGATGTGGTGGCACACGCCTGTAATCCCAGCTACTCAGGAGGCTGAGGGAGGAGAATAGCTTCAACCTGGGAGACAGAGGTTGTACCACTGCACTCCAGCCTGGGTGACAAGCAAGACTCCGTCTCAGAAAAAAAAAAGAGACAGGGTCTCAGCTGCATATGGTGGCTCACGCCTGTTATGAGGCTAAGACAGGAGGATTGCTTGATCCCAGAAGTTCGAAACTAGCTTGGGTAACATAGTGAGACCCCTGTCTCTACAGAAAATATGAAAATTAGCTGAGTGTGGTGGCACATGCCTGTAGTCCCAGCTCCTTGGGAGGCTGAGGTAGGAGGATCACCTGAGTCTGGGATGTCAAGGCAGCAGTGAGCCGTGATCGCACCACTGCACTCCAGCTCGGGCAATAGAGTGAGACCCTATCTCAAAAAAAAGAGAGCTTAATAATCTGTTGGAGCTGGGCGCGGTGGCTCACGCCTGTAATCCCAGCACTTTGGGAGGCCAAGGTGGGTGGGTCATGAGGTCAGGAGTTCGAGACCAGCCTGGCCAACATGGTGAAACCCCATTTCTACTAAAAATACAAAAATTTGCTCGGTGTGGTGGCGTAGGACTGTAATCCCAGCTACTCAGGAGGCTGAGGCAGGAGAACCTGGGAGGTGGAGATTGCAGTGAGCCGAGATCATGCCACTGCACTCCAGCCTAGTCGACAGAGCAAGACTCTGTCTCGAAAAAAAAAAAAAATGAATGTGAACCTAGGTGATGTTCAATAAATGTTTACTGGTAAAGGATTAGGGGACCAAGTTCAGCCCCCAAAGTGTATCTATCAGCGATACTCAGGAAGCACTGACAACATGCCAGGCCCTGGGCAGGACCTTGCAGGGGGAGGGACAAAGCAGACAATGTCCCTCTCCTTGGGGATCTTACCGTCTAATAGGAGAGACCATCCTCCCTCCAAGAGGGGCCTACTCTGAGAGGAGGACGCCCAGCACAATGGCAGGGAGGGGGGACATGCCTCCATGCCTGTTGTTCACCTAGAAGGAGAAATGGGGCCTGGCTCTCCTGCAATGGCAGCTGCTGCCTCCTGGAAAAGCAGAACCTAGAGAAAACAGCTCAGAGCCTGGCCTTGTTGGCTGTCTCCACTGCCTGTCCCCCACCTCGACAGCTACCTGATGCTCCAGGGAAGTAGTGGGTTAGAGAGCACAAGCTTTGGATTCAGACTGCAGACACATGGAGACTGCAATCTGGACTATGCCTCCTACTAGCTTATACAACCCTGGACAAGTTAGTGAACTTCTTTGTGCTGTTGTCATCCATATAATGAAAATGTCCAGTAGAGAGAAAGAGCTGGGGATGGCTCACACCTGGAATCCCAGCACTTTGGGAGGCTGAGGCAGGAGGATCACTTGAGACCAGGAGTTCATGACCAGCCTGGGCAAGATGGCAAGACCTATCTCTAAATATTATTATTATTTTGAGACATATTCTCACTCTGTCACCCAGGCTGGAGCGGCACAGTCTCAGCTCACTGCAGCTTCCACTTCTCGGGTTCAAGTGATCCTTCTGCCTCAACCTCCCAAGTAACTGGGACTACAGGCCAACACACCCAGCTTATTATTATTATTATTTGAGACAGAGTCTTGCTCTGTTGCTCAGGCTGGAGTAGAGTGGCGCTATCTTGGCTCACTGCAACCTCCACCTCCTGGGTCCAAGCGATTCTCCTGTCTCAGCCTCTCCAGTAGCTGGGATTACAGGCGCACACAACCACGCCCAGCTACTTTTTGTATTTTTAGTAGAGACGGGGGGCTTCACCATGTTAGCCAGGCTGATCTCAAACCCTGACCTCAGGTGATCTGCCCGCCTCAGCCTCCCAAAGTGCTGGGATTACAGGTGTGAGCCACCGCGCCCAGCTATTATTATTTTTTTTAGATAGGGTCTTGCTCTGTCACCTGGGCTGGAGTGCGGTGGCATGATCATATAGCTCACTGCAGCCTTGATCTCCAGGGCTCCGGTGATCCTTCCACCACAGCCTCCCAAGTAGCTGGGATTACAGATGTGTGCCACCAGGCCCAGCTAACTTTTTATTTTTTGTAAAGAGATGTGGTCTCTTGGGAGGCCGGAGCGGGTGGATCACCTGAGGTCAAGAGTTCAAGACCAGCCTGAGCAACATGGTGAAATCTCATCTCTAGCAAAAATACAAAAAATTAGCCGGCATGGTGGCGAGCGCCTGTAATCCCAGCTACTTGGGAGGCTGAGGCAGGAGAATCACTTGAACCCAGGAGGCAGAGGTTGTAGTGAGCCGAGATCTCGCACCATTGGACTCCAGCCTGGGAGACAAGAGCAAAACTCTGTCTCAAAAAAAAAAAAAAAAAAAAAGGTCTGGGGTGTCATTATATTGCCCAGGCTGGTCTCAAACTCTTGGGCTCAAGTGATCCTCCCACCTTGGCCTCATAAGAGTGTTGGGATTACAGGCGTGAGCCACTGTGCCCGCCCTGTCTCTATTTATACAAATAAAAATAAAAGTAAAAAAATAAAATGTCTGGTAGAGAAAAAGAACTGGTCTGGAAGTGGCTCACACCTGTAATCCCAGCACGTTGGGAGGCTGAGGTGGGAGGCTTGCTTGAACCCTGCAGTTGGAGGGAGGCTACAGTGAGGTAGGATAGAGCCATTGCAGTCCAACCTGGACAAGAGAAGGAGACCCTGTCTCTAAAAAAATTCAAAGAAAAATAAAAAAAGAAAGACTGGTCTTGCCAAGAACTGGAAGTTTCTTTTTTTTTTTTTTGAGATGGAGTCCTGCTTTGTCACCCAGGCTGGAGTGCAATGGCATGATCTCAGCTCACTGCAACCTATGCCTTCCAGGCTCAAGCGATTCTCCTGCCTAAGCCTCCTGAGTAGTTGGGATTACAAGCACGCACCACCATGCCCGGCTAATTTTTGTATTTTTAGCAGGGATGGGGTTTCACCATGTTGGCCAGGCTGGTTTCAAACTCCTGACCTCAAGTGATCTGCCTGCCTCAGTCTCCCAAAACGTTGGGATTACGGGCGTGAGCCACCACGCCCAGCCAATTTTTAAAAAATATAATAGAGACTAGGTGGGAGGTGGGGGTCTTGCTATGTTGCCCAGGCTGGTCTCCAACTCCTGGCCTCCAGGGATCCTCCCACTTCGGCCTCCCAAAGTGCTGGGCTTACAGGTATGAGCCACCGCGCCCGACCGATAAACATTTTTGCTAACAGATTTAAACTAGCGTCTCCTGTACCTTTTTTCTACACACCTCGACCCCAGGGCTGCAGTTCTGCCTGCCTGAGGTCGGATGCGGTCGGCTGCAGGGCAGGGCTCCGGGCTGAAGCGCAGCGATTCCCGCCGCCGTGAGGGGGCGCTCTGCGGGCCTCGGCCTCGGCCCTTCCGGACGCCCGCACAGGTCGCCGGACCCAGAGAGTCGGCCCTTAATAGCCCCCTCCTGGAAGCGCTAGGTCCCGAAACTGGCCTTCCCCCGGGGCCCATCTCCCGGCTAATGTTTAACCCGGCCACACTCCACATTATCCACACTCAGGAGACCGGGGTGAGGTGAGGGTGGAGGCTGGGGGAGGTCACCTCCAAATCGCCAACTTCCGAGCCTTTGCTCCAGGCAAACGGCCTTCCTACATCCCTTCCAGGTATCAACCTACAGCTCCTGCGCACCTACTATGTGCCCATTTCCACAACAGGTCATGAGCACCTAATATGTGTTCATTAGACCAAAACATGAGCATCCATTACGAGTCCACACCTACTATGTGTGCATTCACCCACAACGTCCTGAGCACCTACTATGTGTGCATTCTCTTAAAATGCAATGAGCATCGATTGTGTGTCCACATAACCCATGAGCACCTGCTATGTGTCCATCTGGGCACCAGCCCATGAGCACCTACTATGTGTGCATTCTCTTAAAATGCAATGAGCATCGATTGTGTGTCCACATAACCCATGAGCACCTGCTATGTGTCCATCTGGGCACCAGCCCAGGAGCACCTACTATGTGCCAAGCCTTGTGCCTGCCATGGATGCCTTGTGATCAAGAGCCACGTGCTTCGGGCTCTGGCGGGGACCGCAGCATCAAATGCACGAATGAAGACGGACTTAAAACCAGCGTCAGATGCCTCACCTCTAGGGGATGCTGATTCTGGGATGCCTTTTTCGTCTCCTAGGCTCCTCAAGGCCAACTGCGCTGGGAAGAGGGGGTGTCCAACAGCAGGAGGGCTGTTTTTTTGAACTACAATTTGCCAGCATACAGCAGAGCAGCAAGAAGATAACAGGGCGGGGGGCACGGGATTAGCCCAAACAAAACACACTCAAGAACGCGAGTCTGTGGTTCAACACGAGGCAGAAAACAGCTGGGCCGGGTGCGGGGCTTCTCCCTCGCGTGTATCCGCTCACTGCACTCGCTGCCCTGGCCGCGGGCGCCGCGCAGGGTGCTGATGTCCAGGAGGGATCTAGACCTCCCGCGGCGCTCGGGCTAGTGGACGCAGGTGGTCCCAAATGCTGGGACCAAGCTAGGAACCAAGCGGAAGCTCGGATTGCTCGGCATCGGGCCTCGTCGTTATTCTACCGTGAGGGAAACTGAGACCGAGGGCACGGCAGGGAGTCGCCCGCCGTCTCACCAGCGTGAGGGGTTGCGCCGGGCCCCGAAAACTGGTTTGCGCCGCCCGGCATCGGGATCCGGGACCTCTGCCCGCCGGGCGCTGCCTGCGCGTTCCTGGAACTGGGCTGGGCGGAGAAATCAGGGCCCGCAGAGAGGCATTCCTGCCGCCTTCCCCGCCGCCCGGGGCCGCAGGGGGGCCTGGCCAAGGTGACCCCGCGGGAGGAGGCGAGGGGTCCCCGCCCGCTCCGCCGCCGCGACCTCCTCCATCTTCCCGGTCTGCGGGGCTTTTCCTCTGGGCCCGCGCGCCCGGCCCCCTCCTCGGGCTTCCCCGAGGGCGGGACGTCTCGGGCTCCCCCGCCCCCCCAGGCCACCTCCCGGCCGTGTCCTAGCGCTGCCCTCGGGCCGGGGGCGGGGCCGCGGGGGGGGGGTGGCGTGAGGATGGGGCCGAGGAGGACGCGCGCGGCTCGGCGCCCCACTTCCCTCCCTCACCCCTCCCTCCCGGTGCCCGCTCCCCGCGGCCGCGCCGCCCTCCCTTCCCCCTCCCTCGGCCCAGCGCCGGCTCCCGCCGCCCCCTCCCCCGACGCGCACGCCCCGCCTGGCAGCTGGCGCCCCGGGCCTGGGGCCGCAGCGGTGAGAGGGGTTTTGCTGGGAGGGAGGGAGCGAGCGAGCGAGGGGAGGGGTGGAGGCCGCCCCCCGCGCCCCTCCTCCTCGCCCTCCTCCGCGGCCGGCGGGCCCTCCTCCCGCCGCCTCCCTCCTCCCTCCTCCCGCCCGCCCGCCCTCCCTCTAAGACATCCCCGCACGGCCCGGCCGCCGCGGCCACCTTCCCTGCCCGAGCTGCAGATGTGGCGGAGCGGCCGGGCGCCGGGCGGCCGTGCCAGGGGAGCCCGCGCCCCGTGAGGCCTCGCGCCCCGGCCCCCGCCCGTCCCGGCCCCTCCCCCGCTCGGCTCCCCGCGCCCCCCGACCGCCGGAGCCCGCAGCCCGGATCCCGACCGCCCCCGCCGCTGAGGTAGGAAGCCCCCCGGGCGTCGCGCCGTGGGGACCGGGCCGGGGCGGGGGGGGGGGGGCCCGCCTGTCGCGCCGGGGCTGCGGGGCCCGAGGGTCTCCTCCCCCGCTCGCGTCCGCGCCCCGGGCCATTGTGAGCCCTCGCCGAGGCCCCCGCGTTCGCTCGCTCGCTGGCTCGCGCGCTCCCTCCCTCGCCGGCTCCCCGGCCGGGTCCCTCGAGCTCTCGGTCTTTCTTCTCCCTCCTTCCTTCCCTCCGTCTGGAGGCCGGGCCGAGCAGCGCCCGGGCCCGGGGCGGGCGCAAACTTCAGCTGGGAAGTTGGGCGGCCGCGGTGGGGGGCGTGCGGCGAGGTGAGAGGGGGGTACCCGGAGCCTGGGCATGAAGTTGTCCGGGGCAGCCGCCCCTCCTCTCGGCCGCGCCGGGGCTGCTGCTAGGAAGGGCTTTGGAAGGTGCCTCCTCCCTTGGCCGGGAGAGTCTCCCTCCTGCTGCCCCTCGCAAGCCCGGGTCCTTCCTTGGACCTCGGGAAGGGGCGTCCCTGGGGGGTCAGGACTGGGAGTTTGGGACAAGTCAGGCACTTGTTACTCCCCTGCGGTCCGGGTGGACGCAGGCGACCGGCCTGGCAGGGAGGAGATGGCAAGGGGTCCATACTCGCCGGAGGGCGGGTCTGGAGCGGGTGGAGGAGGGGGCGAGGCAGGTGCATCCCGAGGGAGGAGAAGCACGCACAGCTTCCCCGCTGGCCCCCTGGGATGGGGCTGGAATCCAGGCTGGCACCTGGAGGCCTTGGCATGCTGCCCTGCCCAGCAGGGTACTCGGGCCACAGCAGGGCAGCGTGCAGCCTGTCTGCCTGTCCAGGAGGGCCCGCCCAGCCTGGCCAGAGGGTGGCCGGGAAGCAATGGTTTCAAGGAGTTGCCCAGCCCTGCCCTGGGGCCTGGGAAGCTGGAAGGGATGCTGGGAGGGGCCCTGGGCCCCCAGCCATCACAGCCCAGGATCTTGGCTCTGGAGGGAACGCTTGACACTGAGGGGGCAGCCAGGCCGGCTGGGGACCTGGCCAAGGCCTGGGCTTGGTCTGGGCCATGGAAAGGGCCTGGGCCATGGTTCTTGGAGGCTGGCACCCTGGGTAGTAGGCCGCCATCCTGCGTGTCCTGGCATCCTGGAGGGAAGGTGGGGCCAGCCTGCGGCTGGGGAGGAAGCCCAGAGACACTGCGCTTCGGAGGGCCTTCCAGCCCCCGGGCTCAGGGGAGGGGAAACTGGCCCCTTGGGTCACCCCTCCCCAAGCCCCATTCTGGTGCCACAGTGCCACAGCTGTCCAGGCCCAGCCCACACACCCATCCCGGGTGACCTCGGACCTCCCCCTCTGCTTCTCCTTCTCCCCAGAGCCCAGGCTGGGCCTCCTAGCTGGCCTGGCCTGCACAGGGGGAGGGGCTGCACCTGGGAGGCCCCTCCCAGGACACCCTTTGCCAAGCTCCAGCCTGGCCCATTTCACTGCCCACCTCCAGCTCAACTTGGCCCTGTCTGCAGCCAGCCAAGCAGGAGACAGTGCCAGGGACTTGGGATGGTGTTTTGGGGGGTGTGCGGACCCCTTGGAAGCAACCCTGTTTTTCTTAGCCTTTCCTCCTCCCCCTCCTTTCCGGAGCTGCCATTAGCGCTGACCCCCTGTGCCTGCCCGCCCTTCCCTGTCTGTGACCTTTGACCTTTGGTGTTAAATCCCTCCAGCTGGGGCTCTTCGGCCCCTGAGTGACCCTGGCCCAGGCCCCCTGGGGAGTTCTCTCCTTGCTCCTGGCTCTCTACACAGGGACACCTGCCAGTCCCTCCCTCACCAATGGGGAGGGGGTGCCCTGGGAAGCCAGACAGTGAGTCACCCCACTTCCAGGCACCGCTGCTTTTGGGGTCAGTGGCTTCTGGGGATTGGCTGGAGCCCAGTCACAGCTTGGAGGGTGACCGGGGAAAGCCCCTGGCCTGGGAGTCTCCTGCCCTGGGTTCAAGTCTTGGCTCCACCACCAACTTCCAGTGGTCCTTGGGTCAGACTCCTCCCCTCTCCCGGCCTTGTCTATGAAACCAAGGGGTCAGACCAGGTGAGCTCCCAGAGTCCATGAGAAGCCTGGGTGGAGGGGGGTCAGGGGGAGGAAAGAGGGTGTAAATCCAGCAAAAGCCAACTCTCAATTATCCGAGGGTGGAGCCCGGATGAATAACTGGATGCCACAGACATCCCAAAACCTCATTGCAAACAATCGTGTGAACCGCGTCCCCCCAAAGCTTTTGTTTCTGAGAAACCCAGCTGCAACTGGGTAGCCACAGCGATTTCTTCCCCCGCCTGAACTCCCCTTGCAGGGAGGACAAGTAGAGGGCTGAGAGTGAACAGGCCGGAGGGAAAACAAAGGTCTCCCAGGGCCCCTTCTTGGGGCCTGGAGGGAGGCCTGGACCCCATTTCCAAGGCCCCCACTCTCCCCTCCACCCTCCTTCCCGGCCTGGCCTTGGCCCCGGGCGGTGGGAGTGTCCTCTCACCACCTAATCCTCTCAGGGTCTGGGCAGCCATATAGGAGGAAGAATGTGTTTTCCCGGCAACAATTTCCCATGTGTATTTCTAGCCACCCGCTCCACTCGCCTGGAATCTGAATTCCCCACTTGGACCAGGGGGTGAGGGCCAGTGCCGGCCAGGGTTTGGGGCAATCTCTGGATGAGGGAGGGTGGCGACAGCTGTGACTGGGGGACCAGATGTGGAGCTCTTGTGGGGCATCTTGGGGGGGCTCCTGGGGAGGCACTTTTGTGGGTCGCCTGGCCTGACCCCCAGCCCCAGAGGCTGCCTCCGAAGGTTCCTGCCTCTAAGGGGAGGCCCAGGGGTCTCTGGCACCTAAGGAGGAAATTGATTCCATGGGAGAGGCCCTGTGCTGGGTGGAATTGGGGCGGGGGTGGCTGCAGAGAAAAGTGTCCCCTGAATCCCTTCCTCTCCTCATGGCTATAATTGTTACTTTATTTCACAGCAGGTGACTGAGACCACAGGGGAACCCCGGAAGGTCCTGGGTGGTCTTCCCCTCACCCAGATAAATGCCCTTCTCAGGGGTAGGGGGCATCCCCAGCTTGGCGGGGCTGTGTATTGAGCAGTAAGAGACCCTCTCCCTGCTGGCTAGGGGATCTGTGGGACCAGCTGAAAGATGCTCTCCACCCTCTGCCTAAGTTGCCTCCCTTCCCAGGGGCTATGAAAGGGTCCACAGAGATGGGTTGAGGCCCTGATGTGTATCTGGGGGTTCACGTCTCTGGGAACTTGCGCCCTGCCCCAGCCTGCTGCCAGCCCTGGGTGTGGGGACCACAGCCCTAGCGAGTCTCCCGGGCCACATCTGCCTCTCAGTGGTTTCTGAGGTGGCCGCCTCCGCCCCACCCTGGTGAATTCTAAGTCAGGCGTGGCTGGGGGCGGGGACTCCGCGCTTCCAACAAGCACCTCTAGTACTCTGCTGGGGGGCCAGCGTGGGGGCACTGCTTTGATCCCAGGGACTGGAGAGGGATCATGGTGATGATGGTGGCAGGGTCTGCAGGGCACAGCCTGGAGGAGACCCAGGTTTCTCTCCTGGCTCCGGCTTAGCCCCTGGGTGAGGCTGGGCAGGCACGGAGGCCGGGTACTCGCCTTCCACTCCCCCACTCCCCCAGATGGGCTGGAGGATTCTGGTTAGCTGGTGGCCAGGCTAAGTGGGCCTGGGGGGCATGGAGATGGGAAGTGATTCCAGCTGAGGGGTGGGGGCTTCCCATCTGCCCCAGCAGCCCCTGCTGGGGGATGGGTGGGGGCTGAGACTCTTCCAGTTCGATGGCTGGGGGGCGGGTGACTTGGGCTCCTCGTGCCCTTTGTCTTCGGTGCTTGAGAGGCCAGGTAGTGCCCACCGCAGGGAGGGGCCGGCCTGTGAGTGTCACATGTGCGTGCACACGGACTCCAGCCTTGGCAGATGGCTGCCGGGGAAGGGACGGAGACCCAGCCCTGGCCCCTTCCTCCAGTCATGGCCAAGGGCGGGTGGGAAGCCAGCAGAGGCCCCAGGAGACCGCTGAGTGGACTGAGTCAGCCCCCGGCCGGGAGCCTCCGGAAAACAGTCCTGCCCGTCACATGGAGGGTCCCCACCGCTGGCACAGCACGCTCCCAGGGCAGCCTCGCTTGGACCCTGGTAGTCAAGAGGTCGTCGGAGGCCGGTGGGGGGAAACTGAGGCTCTGAGACATTTGAGGGTTTGGCCCGAGGTCACTCCCAATCGGGGAAGAACAGAGGGGAACTGGAGTCTGGGGCTGTCTGGCCCTGACCCCTGAAATGTCGGTTTAGCCTGGGAATCCCCCCAGCTCCACTCCTGCCCCCCACGTCCACTGCAAGGGCATGACGGGGGCCAACGTGTCTGGAAGAAGCCTCTCCCCTTCCCTGCATCGTCTGCCTGGGGCTGTCTAGCAAGTCCCGGCCTGCCTGGGCCAGTTCTCCCCTGGGCCACTCCCACCTTCATCCAGAGCCCCCATTCCCCACCCCAACTTCCAGGCAGACCGACTCTGAGCTGGGATGTCCCCTCCCCGCAAGGCTGTAGGGGCCTCCATTGTCCTCCCTATTCTGAAGTCCCCCCAACCCTGTGCTGGTGCTCGTCTCCCTGCCAGCCCCGGCCTCCCCCAGCACCCCCCGGAGCACCTAGTGGTCACCCTGCTTGGTTCTAGGGCCACTGGGCCCCGAGGGCCTGGAGCCACCAGGCCTGGCAGATCCTGCCAGTGGGTGTTCCCCTTTGGAAGGAAAAGGACCTCGATGGCTTTGGAGGCTGTCCCCGGCTTCTGGACTTGCTTTCTTCCAGAGTAGGCGAGCAGAGAGGGGCGGGTGGCTGAGGAGGAGGGCATGGGCTGGAGTCCTGTGTGTGCGGTGCCCTGCTGGGCCTGCTCTTGCCCAGCTATCTGGGGCTGGGGGCCAGGGCTGGGAGGGCGTGGCAGGAGATGGAGCTGGGGGGGATCTGGGCCCTTCCCACCATCCCAGCTGGCCAGGGTGGTTCCTAGGGGCCACCACACCCTTGTCCAGCTCTGTTCCTGGGTCCCTTGCCTGGGACAGGGAGAAAGAGGCATCTATGTCAGGAGACCAGCCCCTGCTTCTAGCCTTGACCTTGGGCAAGTCACATTCCTCTTTGGGCACGAACCCCTCCATACCTACCCCTCCCCTCCTCACTTGGGGGTAAAGGCGGGAATGTCTGTCGAGTGAATGAATACATGAATGAGACGGACTCATTCGCGGAGTGCCAGGTGTTGGGATATGTGAAGGGCAGGTACCACTGTGCCACCTAAGATGAGTGGTTGGGGTTGTTGGAGCTTCGGCTGTCCTCTCAGCAGGCCCCCTCCTGTGGATGGGGAAACCCAGGCCTAGTTTTCTCATTCTGGGTTCCCTGCCTCACTGCCCAGTTCACTCTGGTGGATGGGGTGGGCTCCGTGCCAGGGGCCGTGGGAACTGGGGCAGGGGTCTGCTGGTGAGGCCTTCTCTTCAGTAGCCACAGCGGGTTTGGAGCTGCCCGGCGTCCCAGACATGTCCCGGCCCACTCCCAGGCTCCCTTCTTGGAAGGAGGCTCTGGATACCAGGGCCAGTGGGAGGCCTGGGGCTGAAGGTCGGCGCTGTGTACACCACGCTGTGCACAGGTGACACTGGCTTCAGTGATGCATTGGCAAGGACTTGGACCCGGGACAGCCTGCCTCCAGCGGGGGTGGACAGAGGCAAGTCTTTGCCCAGCAGGCCCTCAGGTACCTGGACCCACAGCCTGTGTGCAGCTCCAGAAACCGAGGCTGGGGAGGGTGAACCAGGGAGCACTTGGTGGAGGAGGGGGCAGAAGGGGATGGTGGCTGGAGGAAAGAGAACAGGGGGGCATGGATGGTGGTGAGGGAGGAGCTGGCACCTGGGAGCATCAGGTTCCCAGGGGGCAGGGGATCCTGAGGAAGGGGGGTGCCAAAGGAGAGGGCCTGGGGCAGGAGGCTCTGGGCTGAGAGAGCAGGTGGCACTCTTCTGTGTAGAGCCCTCTGTGGCTCCCCAGTGCCCTCTAGGTTCTGTCCCAGCCTCTCTGAGGGGCCTCTTTCTCTCCTGCCTCCTCGTCTACTCCATGACTGGTAGGGTCACTGCAGATCAGCCGGGCCATAGCCTCTGGTCCTCTGTGGCACTGGGCTTTGGGGTCTGCTGGCGAACCCAGCTGTGCCCCTTGCTGGCTGTGACAGTGGCAGGTTTCCCCACATGGAAAATGGGGAAAATGGCATCCATTCGCGGGGTCATCAGGGTGATGGACTGTGTGCAGCAGGCATGCTGACCGGGCGCCGACCCGCAGGGCTCCCACCTCCCCAAGGCTCTTCACCCCATATCCATGAGGCTGACCCGGATCTGTGCCCAACCCCCTGCAGGAGCAGCCCCCCCCCTACACTGTTTCTCCCACCCCACCTTGGTCGGGGCACCCTCAAGGTCCGGTTCGATCTAGCAGGGCCTGGCGTTGGAATGCATGAATGCGTGGTTGGAGAACCGAGGCAGGAGGGCAGGCCAAGGTCCACCGCCCGCCTTACCCACTCCTGCTCTCGGAGTTGGCGGGTGCCGTTCCCAGTGGACCTGGTACCTGGCCCCAGGCAGGGGAGGCGTGGGCCACGGGCCTGCCCCGACCCCCCAGGACTTAGGAGCTCCTTGTGGGATCTGCCTGCAGCCAGGCGTGGCTTGGGAGGCGCGGTGTTTCCTTCGCTCTGGGGACCCGGCCTCATCCCTGCTCTCCCCCAGAAGCCAAGGCTCCTGAGTCCTGGCCCCGACACTGGGGCAAGGGGTTACTGTGATGTCCTGTGTGTGCCACATTTGTGCACAGGTGTCTGTACATCCGGGGGTGCTGTGGGTGCCTGCTCATGTCCTGTGCTACACTGGCCCATCCCTTTGCTGGCCTCAGATAGCTCTGGCTGGGTCTGCTGAGAATGGCAGTGCCGCCTGGCAGGGCCTGGGCTGTCTGTGCCCCAGCCTTGCTGGGCGTGCATCCCTGTCTCGCTCCCTGGTGCCAGCCCCTCCCAGGGATTTGGGTGGCAGGGCCCAGTGCTCTGGTCCCCTCCCCTCCCAGCCCGGGTGGGTGGGCAGGTGTGGGGGCTGCGGGGCGGGCTTTCCTCTGGCTGGGGCCCAGGTGCAGGCGGTGATCATAGCTCCAAGCACCCCCCCAAAGCTGGGCAGACAGGAAAATACCAGACATAGTTGTGCAAAGGTGCAGCAGCGGGCAGGCAGCGGGGGGGTGGAGGCCACTGCAGCAGGGGCCCGGAGCCACCAGGATGGGGAGGCCTCTGTGCCAGGCCGGCCCTGCAGCTGGACTGCCATGGCCATCTGTGTGAGTGTGCGTGTGTGTGCCGGGGCTCCCGGAGCCCGGTGTCACCCTCCCTGCTGGCGTTGGAGAAGGAAGTGCCTCTGGTGGGGCATCTCCTAGGAAGCCCGGGCTGGTGCAGGCCAGGGAAGCCCTCCGGCCCGTCTTCCAGCTTCAGCTCTGCCTGAATTATCTGGGTGACCTTGGCAGGCCCAAGTTGCTGTGCAGGGAACCCCCAGCCTGGGGCCGGAAACAAGAATCCTTTAGGTTACCAGTAGCTGGCAGCTTCTTTATGGCAGGCATGAGGACAAGGCCCTCCCTTGCAAGATGCCCTGAGTCCCAGGGACCATTGCCGTGGTGTCTGTTACCTACAAGGAAACCAAGGCTCAGAGACAGCAGGGCCTTTCTGAGTTCCCACAGCCAGGGGTGGCACAGGGGGCTGTAACCAGGCAGCCTGGCCCTGGGGCACACTCTGTGAACACGCAGAAAAAAGATCCCTGGCACATCCCATCTTCAGGTGCTTTCCCGAGGACCCCACGGCAGAGGGCAGAGGTCAGCCCTGGCTGGGTCACCTCGGACCCCTTGTGTTCCCACCCCGGGAGGGGGTCTGCCCTCCCAAAAGGTCCGGGGGTGCTGGCTGAGTGCCCCGTCTTGGGAGGGGGAGGGGCTGCCTACTGAGCCAAAGGTTCCCAGGGACGGTGAATCCCCCACTCTTCCAGGAAGTGCCGCCTGCCCTGGCCCCTCTCCTGGGATCTGCTGGGCCAGGCCTCAGGATAAGCTCCTCCCCCTCCAGTCCTGGGAGGAGGCCTGTCTGCGGCCAGCTCCTTCCAGGGTTGATCAGGCCTTCCCGGGGCCTTGTAGTGCTCTTTCTTTGATGCAGTTGGGCTCTGGAAGGTGGTTAGGGCCAGCTGTGGTCACTCCCCAGGATTGAAGAGGCCTGAGGTTCTTTGAGGGGCATAGGCTTGTTTAGGGTGCACGCTGGCTGGCAGGTGGCAGAGCCCAGGTTCTCCTGGTTCAGGGTGAGACTGCAGTGGCATAGAGGGGATGGCCAGTCCCCACTCAGCTGCCCTCACAGCGGTAGATGGGCCAAAGGCTATGGACTCATGCACACTGGCGACGATTCATTCAGCACGTTTTATTAAGCACCTACTATGTGCCAGGCACTGTTCTCCGTGCTGAACGTTACGGACGAAGGAGAAGCACTCAATAGTGATTGGATGTGCAGCACTGCATTGGTTTCTCCCTGAAACCCAACATGGGGGTCCTATATAATCCCATTTGGGATGAGGGGGATGAGGCGCAGACTGAAGAGACACGCAAAGGGAGTAGCAGAGCCGGGTGGGGCCCCAGATTTCGAGTCCGGTTCTGTTGCCTGGTCAGGAAGGGGGGCCCTGAGAGGACGAGCCCTCCTGCCTGGGGCCCCCAGCAGGCCCTGCCCCTGCCCGCCAGCCCCTGCTGCTGGGCGGCCAAGGAGGGTGGAGCTCTTGGCCAGAGCAGGGAGCCGCAGCTGGTTCCCAGGAATCTGGGGCTGTGGGGCCGTTTGCTTTGGCAGCAGATCTGCCCTCGGCTCTCCAAGCCTCCTGGTGGGCCCCCCACCCCAGCCAGCCCCTCCAGCGCCCACCCACTGCCTGCTCTGCTATCCCTCCTAGCCCCACAAGTCCCTGGGCGGGGAGGGGGTACCAAGCCTGAGCCCCTGACATAGGAAGGGCCAATAGTGAACATGGCTTCTGGACTTACCTGGGGTTGAAACCCAGCTCTGCCACGGACAAGCTGTGGGACCTTGGATGGGTCACTTCACTCCCCTGAGCCTCAGTTTTTGCATCTGTAAAATGGGGATGAAACAGCACCTGCCTTCACAGTACCCGCACCTGGCTATGGGTACTGTCCTCATGCTGCTTGCCCGTGGCTTCTGGTTGTGGGTTTGCCACCTACTTGTGCAGCCTGGGCTGGATGCCTCCCCCTTCAGCCCTCAGTTTCCCCATCTGTAAGACCATACTGCTGAAGTGATGGTTCCAGTAATAGACTCAGGGACACCCACAGACCAGGGTTTCTCTGACTGGTTCAGGAGTGACCAGGGACTCACTTCCTCTTTCTGTTAAATTAGAAGATGACGGGCTGGGCGTGGTGGCTCCTGCCTGTAATCCTAGCACTTTGGGAGGCAGAGACAGGAGGATGGCTTGAGTCCAGGAGATCGAGACCAGCCTGGATGACACAGGGAGACCCCCCCATCTCTGCAAAATAAAAAATTTAAAAATGAGCTGGGTGTGGTGGTGGTGCACCTGTGGTCCTAGCTGCTCTGCAGGCTGAGGCAGGAGGATCTCTTGAGCCTCGGCGGCAGTTAGCCATGACCACGCCACTGCAGTCCAGCCTGGGAGACAGAGCAAGACTCTGTGTCTTAAAAAAAAAAAAAAAAAAAAAAAAAAAGGCCAGACTTGGTGGCTCACGCCTGTAATCCCAGCACTTTGGGAGGCCGAGGTGGGCGGATCACGAGGTCAGGATATCGAGACCATCCTGGCTAACACGGTGAAACCCTATCTCTACTAAAAAAATACACACAAAAAAATTAGCCGGGTGTGGTGGTGGGCGCCTGTAGTCCCAGCAACTCAGGAGGCTGAGGCAGGAGAATGCTGTGAACCTGGGAGGCGGAGCTTGCAGTGAGCTGAGATCGTGCCACTGCACTCCAGCCTGGGTGACAGAGTGAGACTCCATCTCAAAAAAGAAACAAACAAAAAAAACAAAGGTGACCACATAGACTTCTGAGAGATGCATCTTGAGGCCTTGTCTCCAAGTTCTCAGCTAAATGGCCACTGCTGACCAAAAGCGCACTCGCAGGACACTCCAAGGCAAGGGGTGTTCCTCACATTGCCCTTGACAACACTGCCACGCTGGTCACTCACCTGACCCCATGCTGCTGGGAGCGGGGCAGGGATGCAGCCCCATCTTACAGAGGACCCGCTTCCTTCTGCAAAGAGACCAAGTGGTTCTCAGGGTGGGTGCACACAGCCCCCCAGTGCACCCTGCACCTCCACAGGCTTAGGGCCTGCCAGCCACCCTCCCCCAAGCAGGAAAGGAGGAGCTTTTTTTGTTGTTTTTTGAGACAGGCCGGAGTGCAGTGGTGTGATCTCGGCTTACTGCAGCCTCAAACTCCCCAGGCTCAGGCGATCCTCCCACCTCAGCCTCCCGAGTAGCTGGGACCACAGGTCCCTGCTTCCACGCCCAGCTATTTTTTTTTTTTTTTTTTTTTCCGAGATGGAGTCTCACTCCGTCGCCCAGGCTGGAGTGCAGTGGCGCGATCTCAGCTCACTGCAACTTCTGCCTCCCTGGTTCAAGCGATTCTCCTGCCTCAGCCTCCCGGGTAGCTGGAATTACAGACACCTGCCACCACGCCCGGCTAATTTTCGTATTTTTAGTAGAGAGAGCGTTTCGCCATGTTGGCCAGGCTGGTCTGGAACTCCTGACCTCAGGTGGTCCGCCCTCGGCCTCCCAAAGTGCTGGGATTACAGGCATGAGCCACCGTGCCCGGCCACCGGCTGATTTTTTTACTTCAAACGGGATTTTTCCATGTTGCCCAGGCTGGTGTAGAACTCCTGCACTCAAGGGATTCTCCTGCCTCGGCCTCCCAATGTGCTGGGCTTACAGGCGTCAGCCACCGCGCCTGGCCTAGAAGGAGCTTTATTCAGAGCAGGACTCCAACCAGCTCCCTATTAGCCTAGTGATCTCAAGCCTCAGTTTCCCCATCTGTGAGATCGGGAAAATGACAGCAGCTACTGCCAGGCAGGGTTGTAGAGGGGTCATTGAATCCATGGACAGATGGGCCTGACACGTGGTCAGTACCTAATGGTCCTTTACCCCCTCTGGTGTATGACCCACCCCAGGCCAAGGGGCCCTGGAAGAGACTGTCTTTTCCGGGCCTTAGTTTCCCTGAGTGTGCTGGGTCGCCCCGTGCCTTCCAGTAGGGAGGGTGGGGACAGTGGCCGGCCCCGCCTGCCAGGGCGGGATCCTTGGCTACCTGGCCTGGCCGGGGACTGCGGGCGGGGGGCCGGGTGGCTCCGCCAGCGCTGCAGCTGGGGGCCGTCTGCTCGGGCTGCGGTCGGGCACACAATAGCAGCCATTGTCTCGGCCAGGGTGGCGGGGGGCCCGCCCAGCCCACCCTCCGGGTGACCCCCGCCCTGCGGTGGGTGGGAAGGGCAGGGCCCGGTCCCCCGAAGCCCCCGCCGTCCCGGTGGTCCCCGCGGCCGCCCCCGCGCGCTTCCTCCCTCGCCGCAGCCGCTTCCTCCCGCTCGCCCCGCTCTAATTAGTTCCTTTTGCAGCTGGAGGAGCCGCGCAGCGGCCGGTTCCGCGGCCACCCCCACCCCCCACCGACAACCCCAGCCCTCGCCCCAACCCCTGGGCCCTTGCGTGTGGGGGCGCTGCCCTGGGCGCATCCCAGGCTGAGTGCTCGAGAGACGCGGCCCTGGGCTCTGTGCACCCTCCACGCTGCGCTGTCCCACCGGGGGGAAACTGAGGAACGGAAGGCTCCACCAGGAGGCGCAGAGGGGCGTGGGGCCGGCGGGCCTTGCGCTGCGCCCGGGGAGCATCCACGGGGTGCCCCCACCTGACCGAGAGCCGGCTCCTGCCCTCGGGACCCCGCAGTAATTAGCACCCAGGCCTCTGGCTGAGCTTGTCCAGAGCCAGGCTGTCGGCCTTACGCTGGGGAGAGCCACGGCCACCCGCTCATGGGCACTCACTCAGGGTTCCCTGGTTGCAGGCCCGCTGCTCCCCGCTCTGGGCCTCCGAGGCTTTCAGGAGAGCAGGAACCTAGCTCTCGCCTGCCCCCTTCACCCAGCCGGGAACAAAAGCACAGAGCAGAGCCCAGAACTGGCTGCTGCCGGTCGGGGCGGGGGTGGAAGGGGAGGCTTTAAGCCTGGCCAAGGTCAGAACTGAAGCAGGGTCACTGACCGTCTCCCCTCTGGGGTGGGGCCTCCATTGGAGGAAAAACTCTGGGTGGGGAGGGCCTGGAACAGGGATGCTGGGAGGTGTAGGGCTGGGGGCAGCTCCTTCCTTTCCCGGGGGCAGGGACGCAGGCCGTGTGCCGGGCTCTGGCCTGCATTGGAATGAACCCCTGCCTCCCTGGCAGGACCCAGTGGCAGGAAGTGTGTGGGGGTGCCCCTGGGGACTGGACCTGCTGATGAAGGGGGTGCATTGGAGTCCTCCCTCTGGCTTTGGGCCGTGTGGCTGGCCCCACCTGGGGAGACAGGCTCCTCCTGGGGAAGTGTCCCCTGCAGGCCCTAAGAACAAGGTGACTCAGGGCCCCTGGCTCCCCGAGTCCCCATCTGTCCTGGGAAGGCAGTGGGGCAGGTGCCAAAGGATGTTGCTTGGGCAGCGCTGCCAGTGAGTGTCCCCGTCAGCTGGAATTCCCAGTTCCCAAACCATCCTGCCCTTGTGGTCCCCTTCTCCGGAAGGGTGGGGGTGGGGGTGAGGACAGAGGCTGTGGGGAGGCCTGTGGCCCCAGGCCAGCCAAGGGACCAGGCCACCAGCCCTTCCTGGCTCCTGAATTCTTCATCAGCATAAATATTTACTTCCTTCCTCCCCGTCCAGGCTTCCAGCACAGAGGAGCTTCGGGGAGGCTGGATTGCGCCTGTGTCTAAAAATAAACAGGTAGCAGGACGATAGACACACAGATAGACAGATGGAACTGGCAGGGGTTCAGGCAGAGGGCAACTCCCTGTCCAGCCAGAGAAACAGTGGAGGGGACCCTGGTCCATCCATCACTGTCACCCACCCACCTGCTAGCGGGGGTGTGGTCCCTACCCCACCGCATCTCTGGGAGCCCCTGGCCCATGCATGGCCTGGGAGGCAAATTCAAACAATCTGACAGCTCCAACAGGGGCGAATCGCAGACCTAGGTCCCACGGCCTAGTGCAGCTGCCCTGGCTCTGATGATGCAGCCTTGGGAGAGGTGGGCAGCCCCCCTGTGCTGAGACCCCCGTGTCAGCCATGTTGGGGTGGGGTCTGGGGATGTGTCCCTAGAAGCAGAGGATCTCCAGTGAAGGGGGGACCATTTTATGCCCTACTTGCTTGGAGAGTCAGGGCAGAAGGGGAGGACGTGGGAGCTGCCTTCCTGTCCTGCCCTGTGGACAGCATCTCTCCCCACTCACAGGCTATGCTAGCCCCCAGGGAAACACACGGGGGCATATCCAAAGTATTTCACCATGTAGTAGTTATGTCCACCATGGCCGCCCTTTGGTATTGAGTAAAGACCCCAATACCGCGAAAGACGGGATCTCACAGCGTGATTGTGCGGCAGTTAGATTTTCAAGTTGTAATAATCCCAATGAACAAACGCAAGGAAATGTCGTGTTTAACCGCGTAGGAAAAGATTGCTGCTCTGAATGTGAAGTTTGGGTTTAGAATGAAGTGTTGACCTTGTTCTTGGGTCGGTGGATACTGTTAGATCATTTGCATGTGAGGAAAATTACACCAGGTGGGGCGAGGTGGCTCACACCTGTAATCACAGCACTTTGGGAGGCCGAGGTGGGCAGATCACCTGAGGTCAGGAGTTTGAGACCAGCCTGGCCAACATGGTGAAACGCTGTCGCTACTAAAAATAGAAAAATTAGCTGGGTGTGATGGTGTACACCTGTAATCCCAGCTACTTGGGAGGCTGAGGCAGGACAATCGCTTGAACTCGGGAGGCAGAGGTTGCAGTGAGCCCAGATCACACCACTGCACTCCAGCCTGGGTGACTGAGAGACTCCATTTCCAAAAAGAAAATGAAAATTAAACCAGTGAGAAATTCTAAGAAAAATGATGAAAATTACAGCATGGGAAGTGATACTAAAAGAATACCATCTCCAGTAAAAAATAATTTCTACATATTTATATATTAACCGCCAGATACAGCTGGTCAACTCCACCAACCCTGCCCCAGCTGGCCAGGCCAGGCCACAATCCCCAGCTGCCCCCTGGTGGCGACCCAGCGCCCTGGGGCTCCCTGGCTTGCGATGCCTCTCCTCTAGGCCTCTGCAGGGAGGGCGGTGGGGCCCCTGGCTGTGCCCACTTTCTCGGTTTGCCTGGTGCGAGTTCCTTGGTGGTGAGCGTGGCTACCTGCCGGCCATTTCAGAGGATGCTCCTTGCCCCCTGGCCTGGTTCTAGATCTTTGGGGTCAAACAGGGCGGGAGTCCGGAGCATGGCTCCTGCTCTGTCAGAAAAGGCTGTTAGGACACGGCTAGCCAGTTCCCGGGAGATCTGGCTTCAGGCCTTGAATCTTGTTGGGAACAGGCCCCCCAAAATCTGGCTGTAAACTAGCCCCAAAACTGGCCATAAATAAAATCTCTGCAGCGCTGTGACATGTTCATGATGGCCATGACGCCCACGCTGGAAGGTTGTAGGTTTACCAGAATGAGGGCAAGGAACACCTGGCCCACCCAGGGCGGAAAAACTGCTTAAAAGCGTTTGGCTTTTTGTTTGTTTGTTTGTTTTTGAGACGGAGTCTTGCTCTGTCGCCCAGGCTGGAGTGCAGTGGTGCGATCTCGGCTCACTGCAAGCTCTGCGTCCCGGGTTCACACCATTCTCCTGCCTCAGCCTCCCGAGTAGCTGGGACTACAGGCGCCCGCCACCACACCTGGCTAATTTTTTTTTTTGTTATTTAATAGAGTTGGGGTTTCAGCGTGTTAGCCAGGATGGTCTCTATCTCCTGACCTCGTGATCTCCCCGCCTTGGCCTCCCAAAGTGCTGGGATTACAGGTGTGAGTTACTGCGCCCGGCCACAGGCGTTCTTGAACCACAAACAATGGCATGAGTGATCTGTGCCTTAAGGACACGCTCCTGCTGCAGATAACTAGCCAGACCCATCCCTTTATTTCCCATAAGGAATACTTTCAGTTAGTCTATAATCTATAGAAACTATGCTAATGACTGGCTTGCTGTCAATAAATACGTGGGTAAATCTCTGTTCAAGGCTCTCAGCTCTGAAGGCTGTGAGACCCCTGATTTCCCACCCCACACCGCTATATTTCTGCGTATGTGTCTTTAATTCCTCTAGCGCCGCCGGATTAGTCTCCCGACCGAGCTGGTCTTGGCAAATCTGATAGTTTTTCCACTTCTGAGCTCTGCGATCTGAGGCGATGCCTGTAAAAGACGCAGTTTCGCCAAGCGTGGTGGCTCAGGCATGTAGTCCCAGCGTTTTGGGAGGCCAAGGCAGGAGGATCGCTTGAGGCCAGGAGTTCGAGATCAGTTTGGGCAACATGGAGAGACCCGATCTCTACAAAAAAGAAAATTTTTTTTTTTAATTAGCCAGGAGCGGTGCCTGCCTGTAGTCCCAGCTACCAGGGAGGCTGAGGTGGGAGGATCGCTTGAGCCTAGGAGGTCGAGGCTGCAGTGAGCTATGATTGTGCCACTTGCACTCCAGCCTGAGTGACAGAGCGAGACTCTGTCAGCAAATAAAATTCAGTTTCATGGCAAAATGAAGAATGTGAGCTTTGTCTTCCCCAAGAGACTCATGGGAAGCAGATGCGGAATCTCTGAGGAGGCTGTTGGCTCTCCCCCCATGATAGCTGCCGGCCAGGTCGCTCGGAGGGTCTCCCTACCCAGGAGACAACCTCACACTGCCCCCTGCTCCTGCTCCTGTTAGACTGTCATGAGTACAGCCCGAGGAGAAGCCTGGGGTCTCAGTGCCACAGCACAGCTCCTGTCCTTCCCCAGGTTCCTGCGTGAAGACCAGCTGGGAGCCCACTGCCTGCTGCCACCTCCAACTCCGGCCCCCTCACCATGCACTCCCTGGACGAGCCGCTCGACCTGAAGCTGAGTATCACCAAGCTCCGGGCGGCAAGAGAGAAGCGGGAGAGGACGCTGGGTGTGGTCCGGCCCCGTGCTCTGCACAGGGAGCTGGGCCTGGTGGATGACAGCCCCACACCTGGCTCTCCAGGCTCCCCGCCCTCAGGTACTGGCCCTGGGCAGGGCAGGGGGACTTAGCCCTGATCCAGTCATGGTGACAGGGAGAATGGCCAAGTGTGTCCACCAGCATGTAGCTGCAGCCCCTCTCGGCTTCCGGTTCATGGGAAGCCCGCACGCTTGTCCTTCCATCCGCCCAGCATCGTATGTCTGCAGGGAGGTGGGAGCTGCAGTGCCCAGCTCACGTGGCTGGCACACGATGCAAACTGAGGCCTCTAGGCAGATCTGGAACAGAGCTGGTCGGGCAACCAGGCATTCAGAAGGAGCGGCAGTAGTCCCAGGACCTGCACCCTAGGCTGTGGGGTGGTGCCGCTGGCCAACCTGGGCAGTAGAGGCTGGGTCTGAGCCCAGGAGGTGCCTCTCAGGGATTCCCGGTGCTTGGGCCCAGGGTGGTGGGCACCACTTCTGCCCTGCCTCCAAGAGCAGAGTCACCCGAAAACCAGATTCACCGCTTGTCTGAAGGGGAAGGCTATGGGAGCAGCCCAGCCCGAACCTGCCACTTTACAGAAGGGAACACTGAGGCAGGAAGGGGCCTGGGAAAAGCTAGAAAGGTTCCTACCTGCCCGTCTGACAGGGACCCAGGGGCCCTGGGTTCGAGTCCTGTTCTGTTATTAACCCTGCGTGCCAGACCATTCCCGTCTGCAAAGCGGGCACTTCCCCCCTCCCCGGCTCACGGGGGCCAAGCTCTGGCGGCTGGTAAAGCTCAGAGGTGGTGGGTGGTGTCACACACCTGTCAGCTCCACAGGCTGCTCCTCACATTCGTGTGGTCTGGGGGCATGGCTGGTGTCTGCTCCCAAGGTCACAGTGGGGGTTCGGAGGCAGGAGTACCTGGCCCACTGGGACTCTACACTCCAGCACACCCTGAACTGTGCCTCTCCCTCAGGCTTCCTGCTGAACTCCAAGTTCCCCGAGAAGGTGGAGGGACGCTTTTCAGCAGCCCCTCTCGTGGACCTCAGCCTGTCACCACCATCTGGGCTGGACTCCCCCAATGGCAGCAGCTCGCTGTCCCCCGAGCGCCAGGGCAACGGGGACCTGCCTCCAGTGCCCAGTGCCTCGGTAAGGAGGGGTGAGAGTTCCGGAGAGAGGGGTGGACTGGTTTCCTGGGGTTGCCATGACAAAGTACCCCAACACTGAGTGGTTTAAAAAACAGATGTGTTACCCCTCATAATTCTGGAGGCTGGAGTCTACCTGGAAGGCTCTAGGGGAGAACCTTCCCTGCCTCTCTCCTGCCTTCTGGCAGCTTCTGGAAATGCCTGGCACTCTAGCCTGGTAGCTGCTTCACTCCAGGCTCTGCCCTGTCTTCACACGGTCTTTGTCCCTCTGTGTCCGAATCTCTCTCTGGTTTCTCTTATAAAGACACCAGTCATGGCCGGGCACGGTGGCTCACACCTGTAACCCCAGCACTTTAGGAGGCTAAAGTGGGAAGATCGCTTGAGCCCAGGAGTTCAAAACTAGCCTGGGCAACATAGCAAGACCCCATCTCTATTTATTTTTTTGAGACAGAGTCTTGCTTCATTGCCCAGGCTGGAGGCCAGTGGCCCGGATCTCAGCTCACTGCAACCTCCGCCTCCCGGGTTCAAGCGATTCTCCTGCCTCAGCCTCCCAAGCTGGGACTACAGGTACACACCATCACACCTGGCTACTTTTGTATTTTTAGTAGAGACAGGGTTTCTCCATGTTGGTCAGGCTGGTCTTGAACTCCTGACCTCAACTGATCCGCCCATCTCGGCCTCCCAAAGTGCTGGGATTACAGGCGTGAGCCACTGTGCCCGGCCTTTTTTTTTTTTTTTTTTAAACAGGGTCTAGCTCTGTCACCCAGGCTGGAGTGCAGTGGCATGATCTCGGCTCACTGCAACCTCTGCCTCCCAGGTTCAAGCAATTCTCCTGCCTCAGCCTCCCAAATAGCTGAGATTACAGGCATGTGCCATCACGCCTGGCTAATTTTTGTATTTTTAGCAGACATGGGGTTTCACCATATTGGCCAGGCTGATCTTGAACTCCTGACGTCAAGTGATCCGCCCACCTCAGCCTCCCAAAGTGCTGAGATTACAGGCGTGAGCCACCGCACCTGGCTATATATTTTTTTTAATTAAGAAAATAAAAATTTAAAACACACCAGTCACTGGGTGTTGGGCCCACCCTAATCTAGTGTGACCTCATGTTAACTTGATTACATCTGCAAAGATCCTAGTTCCAAATAAGGCCACATGCACAGGTAGGGGCTGGGGAGAAGAGGACCTGAATGTCTCTGTTTGGGGACACCATTCAGTCCACTACCGATGGGACGGGGGGCTCTGGGCCAGCAGGACCTTGACTAGCCCTCCCCTCGCACCCCAGGACTTCCAGCCACTGCGCTATTTGGATGGTGTCCCCAGCTCCTTCCAGTTCTTCCTGCCCCTCGGCTCCGGGGGGGCCCTGCACCTGCCTGCCTCCTCCTTCCTTACCCCTCCCAAGGACAAGTGCCTCTCGCCAGACCTGCCCCTGCCCAAGCAGCTGGTGTGTCGCTGGGCCAAGGTGAGTGGGGGCCAGCAAGAGTAGTGTGGAGTCTGGGGCAGGTCACCCCGCATGGGCTCAGAACACTTCCCATCCTCCGCAGTGTAACCAGCTCTTTGAGCTCCTGCAAGACCTGGTGGACCATGTCAACGATTACCATGTCAAGCCCGAGAAGGATGCGGGGTACTGCTGCCACTGGGAGGGCTGCGCCCGCCATGGCCGAGGTTTCAACGCCAGGTGAGGTGGGGGAGAGAGGGGTAGAGGGAGGACTGGGGTCTCCAGTGAGCTGAGCCGTGCCCCCCGCCCTCCCTGGAGCAGGTACAAGATGCTCATCCACATCCGCACACACACCAACGAGAAGCCACACCGCTGTCCGACCTGCAGCAAGAGCTTCTCCCGCCTGGAGAACCTGAAGATCCACAACCGGTCGCACACAGGTAAGAGGCCGGGGCCGGGCGGCTTGGCCCATGAAGGGGGCGCTCAGCTGAGACCGGCTGGGCAGGTCCCCAGGGGGAGGGGACTGTTAAGTAAATCCCGGGCCTCAGAGATAAGGGTTGATGTCATCGCCCAGGGGTCCCTTTTCCAATGCAGTTTGCTAGGGGAAGCATCCCCTGGGGGTCAGACCCCCACCCAGCACCTGCTCTTGGAGCACCAATGCCATTTCCTGGTTCCCGTGGGTATCTTCTGACTAATGCCACCTCTGTGATCGCAGAGGCCAGGTCGGCTTCACTCCTCACTACAGCCCAGGCCCATACCAGGACAGCTCTGGTTGTCAGAGCCACAGACATAATTTTACATTTCCTAATCGCTGCATAAAACACAGCAAAAATAAATGGGTGAAATTAATTGTAATATGGTTCGTTGACCCCGGTACATCCAACGTGTTATCAATTCATTATTAAAGACAAATCAGTGAGATATTGAAGTTCTTCATTTCATGACAAAGCCTCAAGGAGCTGATGTGTATGTTTTTTCCTGGTGTTTATTTCACCCTGGCAGCACATCTCCAGGTGGAGAGCCATGTATCAGGAGGTCAGTCACTACATGTGGCCCCCTGCTCTGGCCAGGGCAGCAGAAGATGCCTGGTGAACCTTCAGCCATTTGTTGAGTGAGGGCAGTAGCGCCCAGGCAGCACTCCCTGTGGCCAGGCCCACGCTGGGCGCCTCGTGCCAGGATGTGATCTCCAAGGCCATGGTGTCTTTTTTTTCTTGAGACAGACTCACTCTGTCACCCAGGCTGGAGTGCAGTGGCATGATCTTGGCCCACTGCAACCTCTGCCTCCCAGGTTCAAGTGATTCTCCTGCCTCAGCCTCTGAGGTAGCTGGGATTACAGGCACCTGCCACCACACCCAGCTAGTTTTCGTAGTTTTAGTAGAGACGGGGTCTCACCATGTTGGCCCTGCTGGTCTGGAACTCCTGGCCTCAAGTGATCTGCCTGCCTTGGCCTCCCAAAGTGCTGAAATTACAGGCGTGAGCCACCGGGCCCGGCCTCCAAGGCCATGTTCTGCTGCTGAAAGGCACATCCTCTGTAGCAGAGGGTGCAGGGCGAGGCTAGGCAGAGCTGGAGTCAACCAGGCTGAGTTTTCAGCCTCTGTGCCCTGCCTGGGGGCAGATCTCATGCCATGTGCTGGGGATGCCCCCTGCCCCCAGAATTGGGGCATCTATGTTCCCAGGGAGTGCTTGGCCCGGGGAAATGTTGAGTGCATGGGGTGAGACCCAGGAAGGGGAGAGACCCCTCATGGCGGCACTGCACTGCACCACCCTGCAGGTGAGAAGCCCTACGTCTGCCCCTACGAGGGCTGCAACAAGCGCTATTCCAACTCCAGTGACCGCTTTAAGCACACGCGCACCCACTACGTGGACAAGCCCTACTACTGCAAGATGCCCGGCTGCCACAAGCGCTACACGGACCCCAGCTCACTGCGCAAGCACATCAAGGCCCATGGCCACTTTGTGTCCCACGAGCAGCAAGAGCTCCTGCAGCTGCGCCCACCCCCCAAGCCGCCACTGCCCGCCCCCGACGGCGGCCCCTATGTCAGTGGGGCCCAGATCATCATCCCCAACCCAGCTGCCCTCTTTGGAGGCCCTGGCCTGCCCGGCTTACCCCTACCCCTGGCCCCCGGCCCCCTTGACCTCAGTGCCCTGGCCTGTGGCAACGGTGGGGGCAGTGGGGGTGGGGGGGGCATGGGCCCTGGGCTGCCAGGCCCCGTCCTGCCTCTCAATCTGGCCAAGAACCCGCTGCTGCCCTCGCCCTTTGGGGCTGGCGGACTGGGCTTGCCTGTGGTCTCCCTCCTTGCTGGCGCAGCTGGTGGCAAGGCCGAGGGGGAGAAGGGGCGTGGGTCGGTGCCCACCAGGGCCCTGGGCATGGAGGGCCACAAGACGCCCCTTGAAAGGACGGAGAGCAGCTGCTCCCGGCCAAGCCCCGATGGACTCCCCCTGCTGCCAGGCACCGTGCTGGACCTGTCCACGGGCGTCAACTCAGCTGCCAGCAGCCCAGAGGCGTTGGCCCCTGGCTGGGTGGTCATCCCGCCGGGCTCGGTGCTGCTCAAACCGGCTGTGGTGAACTGAGCCCATCCTGCGGACAGTTGTGGTGCCCCCCCGGCAGCTCCCGGCACTGCCCCCGACGAACGGAAACTCTTCTGTGAAATAGCAATAATGTCCTACTGCCCGGGCAGCCCCAGCCCAGCCCGCCGGGAGCAAGGATGGTGCTAGGTCATTCATGGCTGGCCTCCCAGCCCCCGGGTGGGGACCTGGCCTGTCATGCAGGGAGAGCTGTGCTCCTGGGTGCTGAAGCCTCGCTCCTGTCTGTCCCCCACCACCTGGCCCTCAGCTTCTGAGAGGCTTTCCCCTGCCCGACCTCCTCCCGTTTCCCTCTCCCACCCTGGCACCTCCCTCACCTAGTGACCACCCATGGCAAGTTGCCCTCTCCCAGCAGAGGGGGTGGGTGGGGTGGCATCTGCCCTCCCTGCTAGCACCAGGCTCCCCCTTCCTGAGAGGAGCCCCCAGGGACCAGAGGCCTGCCCTTCCCTCCTAGGCTTACCCAGCCCCTGCCCTGGGGGCTCCTTGGACCCCTTTCCCTCTGACCCTGCCTCCAGAGGGAAAGCAAGACAGATGCAGGCCCCTGCAAAGCCCCAGGTAGAAGCATGCCCCCCAGGACAAGGCGCCTCCCACTAGTTAGGAGAAGGCCCGCTCTGCAGCCGCCGTCCTCACCCCAGGCCAGGCCTGCAGTACCAGACGGGATAGCTGGCCACTCCACCCCTGCACCCCAGGGTCTCCTCCCTCTACCTTTTGGGGCACCCTGGGAGCGTGGGAAGCAGGTCCGAGGGCCCCTGAGCTGGCAAGGGGAGGTGCCAGGCCAGCTGTGGTGCCAAGATACTGAGTGACCTGGGCCCTGGCTCAGGGAGCATGTGGGGCCAGGCCCAGCGCCCCGTCTTCCTCCTTCTACCCCCGCTGGGCCTGGCCTGGGCAGCGCCCCCTGCAGAGGCCTTTGGGTCCTTGGTCCTGTAACAGGAAGGGGGAGGCTGGCTGGGGACGACCGACCACAGGCTGGGACACAGCTCCTGGTCTGGGGGCTCCAAGTGACAGCATGCAGGGGAGGGGGCTCCCAGTCAGTGCTGTGTTGGGAGCTTTCTGGAGGCTGTGGACTGAAGGCCTTGAGGGAAGCAGTGGCTGGAGGAGGGTGCTGGACCCATGACACGTTGCTTCCTCTGGCTTTTCCCTGCTGGGCCGCTTTCTCAGAGGCACTTCCCCACCCCTAACACCCAGTGGGCCCCCCCAGGTTCTGTGCCACTCAGAGGGACCCTGGCAGGGGCCAGAACCACTTAAGGGTGGTGCTGGAGGGCCTTGTGCCCCAGTCCCATCCCAGGACGCCCTGAGGGATGGACGCAGCCATGCACCCCCCATCTGGGGCCTCTCCCTGCTCCCTCTCCCACCTGGCAGCTGGGAGTTCTGGCTTCTAGGCCTGCCCTGTCACCAGGCCTCTGAGTGGCCAGGCCCTTCCACCTCCCCATCTGTAAAACGAGGCAGCTGCCCGGACAGCCTTGGGGTCCTTAGTGGCCCTGCAGGTCCTCTGGCAGCTCTGCTGACCCCACCCTCTCCCGGACTGCCCTTCTGTCCCAGAGGGGTCACCCTGACCCGGCCCACCTTGCCACTGGGCTTTGGACTCCAGCCCTGACAGGGCCCAGCCACACTGGCTCTGCCCCTCGAAGGGGCTATGAGCAAGGTAGGAGGGAGCTGGTCTCCTTTCTTCGGGCCCCACCCAGGCCCTGAGCACCCCCCACCCCTGTGAGGGCCCCAGGCCTTAAGTCCCTGGCGGGGTCATGGGTTTGCGACTTGAGCAGAGCGGAGGAACAGGGCACTGGAAGGCCGACGAGCTCAGCATGCGACTCGGTGACGGACCAGGCTCGGCAGGGCCGGTGTACTTTTTGTGGTTGTCATTGGTGTGTTGTTGCACATTCCAGGACGTCAGTATTTTAACAGGTTCTAAGTGCCTTTCTATCGTAGCTTATGTTTTCCTCCTCTTGGCTCCATTGCTGTTAGCATAGAGTTTTAAAAAAAGAGATAAGCTAATGACTATAACAATATATTCCTCCATGGGAGAGGAAGTTTATAAAGAAACAATAAAAGTGAGTTGCAAAGATGGCTTGTATGTCGTGGATGTGCCAGGAACCCGGCCCTGACATGAGGCCACCACTGCCCTGAGCCCCTGCAGGCCTGATCCGGGCTTTCTCCCCGACCCTGCAGGTGCCCCTCCCTCTCAATCTGCCGCTTAGAGCAGGAACTGGAAGGTTGGGAAGGAGGTAGGTGCTGAGGGCGCACAGGTGACAGGAACTGAGACAGAAGATTCCAGGCGGAGCATCCCAAGGTCCAAGTCCTCAGCCCACTACTGCCCGCTGCGGCTTTGGAGAGTGGTGGGCAAAGGCCCTTCTCCCCCCAGCCACATTCTGGGGTACTGTGCCCAGATTACTGAGGTGCTAGGTTCAAACCTGCCCCAGGGACAGGGTGGCTGCCGACAAGAGCTCTGGGGCCAGGAGACCGCCACCCCGTGGGAGGGGCAGGGGCGCTATGGGAGGGAGCCTCACCCTGGCACGGGTGCTGTGGAAGCAGGAGCGGCTGCATCCTGTACGTGACAGGACTCAGCTGGAGCCCACTGGCTGGCTGCCCGCCAACCTTACCCAGCCCGGCCCTTCTGGGCTGTTAAAGGCTGCTGCCTCCCCATCTCCAGCACCCACAGCCCTGCAACCGGCAGGAGGAGCAACCTGCCTTCTGGAATCTGGACACATGCAAACGAGAAATGCAGAAAAGAAATTTATTACCAAGCTATAAATTAGAGGCGGCGGGGTGGGCGGGGGGAGCCGAGCAGTCACGTATGGGGCATCTGCCCTTTTTCTCTGTCCTCCTGGGCCTGGATTTTGAGTTCCTCATCCAGGCGCTCCTTTGCGCGGACCACCTAGTGGGTCACGGATAATCAGGCCGGGAGGCCAAGCCTCCGCCCCATACCCCTTGCCCACATGGGATGGCCTATTCCCATCAGCCCAGGTCCATTTTTTGAAGGGCAGTGGGTGGATACCAATGCTTCCTTCAGTGGCACCCCAGGGTCGGGGTGGCCTGGGGAGACAGAGCTGGGCTGCAGGGCCCAGCGCATGCTGTGACCTCTGTGAGCTGAGAGCTGTTTCTAGCACCCCACCCACGGGGGCTCCTGCTCCTTCGAAGTCCCAGCTGCTGGGAGGGAGGGCTCTATCTGGGGTGACACAGCCTGAGTGGCTGGACCCCGCAAAGCTGAAGCAGTCAGAGGGGTGGCAGTTCAGGGGGCCTCCCTGAGGCTGGGGCACCATGGGAAAGCCTGGCACAGTTTTCTGTGTGCCAAGCCCTTAGCTGGCCAGCTCCCCCAACTAGGAATTGAGCCCCAGGTGAGAAGAAGGGGTCCCATGACTTCATTCCTCCCAGAATCAAAGACCACTCACCTTTGACTGCAGGTAGAAGGAGCCACCCACGGATTTATCATTCACCTTAAATAAGTGTTCATAGTTCTGCAGAGGAGAGGGGACGGGTGAGAGGGCTGCAGACTGCAGGCAAGAGATGTTGGGCAGGCTATGTGGGGCCACGTGAGAGAGGCAACAGGACTCCTCTCCACCCTGTGTGCCACACCCAGCTGTTGTGGCCACTGAGAGGCAGAGATGGGGACGGGTACCCTGGAGGGCAACTGAGCTGCTACTGGAAGGCACTCTTTGTCTCTAGACTGTCCTGCCTCAGGCCTAAAACTTCACGAGCAACAGTGGCTCCCGAAAGTTGGAGTCCGAGCTGGGTGCAGCTGCAGCCTCCACATCGGACCTCCCTGGCCAGGCCTCCCTTCACTCTTCCCACCCTGGCAGCCTCTCCCTCTCAAACTTTGGGGTGGCCCAGTGGCCTCACCTTCTGGACCTCCTCAGGGCTCAGCTTGGACACGTTGAGAATCTGCTGTGCCTCCTGGAGGCTGAGGCCGGAGAGGTTGGAAGCGGCTGCAGACCGGTGTCCAGCGCGTCCTCGGGCATCAGCTGCGGCCCGGCTGGCTGTGTGGACATGTGGGTGATCGCTCAGTCCTCAGCAGCCCACACTTCACCCTGGGCCTTCCGAGTTGGTGGCTCACCCCTGCCACCAGCACAGGATGAGAGACACAGGGACAGGTGGCTAGGAGCTGCCTCTTCTCCAGGAGTGGTTTCCTTTTTAGGGGGTAGAGGCTGGGAAAGTGAGGACAGACGTGCCTCACTGGAGGGTAAGGGCAGGATCTGACCGCTAATCCTGGCTCCTGGTCCCCAACCTAGACCATGAGATGACCCTGTCCCCCAACCCCCATATCCCAGGGGAACAGCAAATTGGGGAGCTTTAGGCTACGATGGAGACTGTATAGTGGGGCTGCGGGCATGAGAGGGCTCTGCAGGGGCCCAGCTGCCCACCTGTCACCTAGACCACCAAAGCCACTGCCTTGGGTGACCTCTCCCCTTTCAGTGACCCCAGAACCTAGAATCAGGAGCTGCTAAACTTTTCCTAAAGGCTCAGAGAGTAGCTATTTTAGGCTTTGCGGGCTAATGAGCCTACACTGGAACCATTCAACTCTGCCTTGAAAGCAGCCTGTCGGCCGGGCACAGTGGCTCACGCCTGTAATCCCAGCACTTTGGGAGGCCAAGGAGGGCAGATCACGAGGTCAAGAGATCGAGACCATCCTGGCCAAAATGATGAAAACCTGTAAAATACAAAATTACTAAAAATACAAAAATCAGCTGGGTGTGGTGGCACATGCCTGTAGTCCCAGCTACTGGAGAGGCTGAGGCAGGAGCATTGCTTGAACCCGGGAGGCAGAGGTTGCAGTGAGCCAAGATCGCACCATTGCACTCCAGCCTGGGCAACACAGTGAGACTCCGTCTCAAAAGAAAACAAAAGGGCTGGGTGCGGTGGCTCACGCCTGTAATCCCAGTACTTCAGGAGGCCGAGGTGGGCATATCACGTGAGGTTGGGAGTTCAAGACCAGCCTGACCAACACGGAGAAACCCCGTCTCTACTAAAAATACAAAATTAGCCGGGCATGGTGGCGCATGCCTGTAGTCCCAGCTACTCAGGAGGCTGAGGCAGAAGAATTGCTTGAACCCGGGAGGCAGAGGTTGCAGTGAGCCAAGATCGCACTATTGCACTCCAGCCTGGGCAACAAGAGCGAAAACTCCGTCTCAAAAAAAAAAGATTTATTTACAAAACCAGGGCCGGGCGCTGTGGCTCACACCTGTAATCCCAGCACTTTGAGGCAGGCGGATCACCTGAAGTCAGGCGTTCCAGACCAGCATGGCCAACATAGTGAAACCCCGTCTCTACTAAAAATACAAAAATTAGCCTGGTATGGTGTCGGGTGCTTGTATTCCCAGCTACTCAGGAGGCTGAGGGAGGAGAATCACTTGAACCAGGAGGCAGAGGTTGCAGTGAGCCAAGATTGCCCCACTGCATTCCAGCCTGGGCGACAGAGTGAGACTCCATCTCCAAAAAAAGAAAAAACAAGTTTACAAAATCAGGTATCCAGATGGGCCAGTGTGCCAGCTCCTGCCCTGGATGCTCTTGCTAACCAGGTACCACTGAAGAATGCCCCGGTCTGGCATCACCCCCCACCATGGGAAGTGCCTCAGGCCACGCACACTTCAGAACCGCCAGGCCTGAGGTGCCCATGGCTACGGGGAAAATCTGACCTGGAGAGGAACTCCCAGCCCACAGGGGAGACGGACCCATGCTTACCTGCAAACTCCTGCCGCAAGGCCCGTGCAAAGGCCCTGCCCACCACCTGCACGCCCATCACAATGATCTGGGCCAGGTACTTGGCCTGTGGGCAAAGCAGGCACCCGGTTAGCAGGCCACTCCCTGTGGGCCCACAGAGATGGGCCCTGGAAACGGCTGCCGAGGGGCAAGGCTCCCGGAGACCCGAGGTCATGAAGCACAGAGCTGCAGCCCCAGGCCAACCCCTCCAAAGCACCCTGAATGAAAGCTTCCATGGTGGGTGGCTTAGTTACTCACTGGACAGGCAGGCAGGCGGGTGAACTTGACCGAGCTCCCAGAGGCAGACTGGCCCCACCTCATCCTTCAGGAAAGGCGTAGAGGAGCAAGGCAAAGTGGCTGCAACCACCGGCTTCAGGAAGAAACACTGTGGTCTGGGAGCCAGAACACAGGGACAGCCCTGGACCTGGCAGTAACTCACTCTCGACCCTGGGGCCGACCATCACTCTTCCTGAGTTTCTGAGATCATCAGGCCCAACCTTTACTTTACCAACGGGGAAACAGATCTGTCCTAATTCTCCCAAGTCCGAAGACTTTAAGTCCATTCCATTCAATAAAACAAACTTACTATGCAAACCTGTTTCCATCTTCAAGGAGCTAAAAGCCCACTAGGAGGGTATTTAAACACACTATGGACCAAATCATGAGGGAGAGTCAGGCTCGTTCATTTGTGCAGCCATTGGTTCACCCATTCATTCAAACATCTGCTGAGAGTCTACTCTGCTCAGCACTTGAGCACAAAGCTACACAGAACCTGGTCCCTGCCCCGAGTCAGAGCACACTGCTGGCCTGGCAGGGAACCCCACTGTCACACACCAGGCTGAACATGCCGGAACACTGCACGTGTGATTCCATGCCCCGCAGAGGCCCTGGGGACTCACTAAGATGTGAGCGGAAGCAACAGAGTCGAGGGAAAACTCAAGACTGAGATGGGATTCGGTGAGAGGAGGGGGTTCTGTGTGAGAGGAGGGCGTTCCGTGAGAGGAGGGGGTTCCGTGAGAGGAGGGGGTTCCGTGAGAGGAGGGGGTTCTGTGAGAGGAGGGGGTTCTGTGTGAGAGGAGGGGGTTCTGTGAGAGGAGGGGGTTCCGTGAGAGGAGGGGGTTCTGTGTGAGAAGAGGGGGTTCTGTGTGAGAGGAGGGGGTTCTGTGAGAGGAGGGGGTTCTGTGAGAGGAGGGGACTGTGTGAGAGGAGGGGGTTCTGTGAGAGGAGGGGACTGTGTGAGAGGAGGGGGTTCCGTGAGAGGAGGGGACTGTGTGAGAGGAGGGGGTTCTGTGAGAGGAGGGGGTTCTGTGAGAGGAGGGGGTTCCGTGAGAGGAGGGGACTGTGTGAGAGGAGGGGGTTCTGTGAGAGGAGGGGGTTCCGTGAGAGGAGGGGACTGTGTGAGAGGAGGGGGTTCTGTGAGAGGAGGGGGTTCTGTGAGAGGAGGGGGTTCTGTGAGAGGAGGGGGTTCCGTGAGAGGAGGTGACTGTGTGAGAGGAGGGGGTTCCGTGAGAGGAGGGGGTTCTGTGAGAGGAGGGGACTGTGTGAGAGGAGGGGGTTCTGTGAGAGGAGGGGACTGTGTGAGAGGAGGGGGTTCTGTGAGAGGAGGGGGTTCCGTGAGAGGAGGGGATTCCGAGGAGAAGAGGGGGTTCCGTTAGAGGATTGTCTGAGAGGAGGGGATTCTGGTGAGAGAAGGGGACTTTGTGAGAGGAGGGGTTTCCGTGAGAGGAGGGGGTTCTATGAGAGGAGGGGATTCCGTGAGAGGAGGGGATTTTGTGAGGGGGGGTTCTTTGAGAGGGAGGGGGTTCCCTGAGAGGAGGGGGTGTCGTGAGAGGAGGGGGTTCTCTGAGAGGAGGGGACTGTGTGAGAGGAGGGGGTTCTGTGAGAGGAGGGGGTTCTGTGAGAGGAGGGGACTGTGTGAGAGGAGGGGATTCCGTGAGAGGAGGGGATTGTGTGAGAGGAGGGGATTGTGTGAGAGGAGGGGACTGTGTGAGAGGAGGGGGTTCTGTGAGAGGAGGGGGTTGCGTGAGAGGAGGGGATTGTGTGAGAGGAGGGGGTTCTGTGAGAGGAGGGGGTTCTGTGAGAGGAGGGGACTGTGTGAGAGGAGGGGGTTCTCTGAGAGGAGGGGGTTCTGTGAGAGGAGGGGGTTCTGTGAGAGGAGGGGACTGTGTGAGAGGAGGGGGTTCCGTGAGAGGAGGGGACTGTGTGAGAGGAGGGGGTTCCGTGAGAGGAGGGGGTTCCGTGAGAGGAGGGGGTTCTGTGAGACGAGGGGGTTCCGTGAGAGGAGGGGACTGTGTGAGAGGAGGGGGTTCTGTGAGATGAGGGGTTCCGTGAGAGGGAGGGATTGTGTGAGAGGGGGTTCTGTGAGAGGAGGGGGTTCTGTGAGAGGAGTGGACTGTGTGATAAGAGGGGGTTCTGTGAGAGGAGGGGGTTCTGTGAGAGGAGGGGACTGTGTGAGAGGAGGGGATTCTGTGAGAGGAGGGGGTTCTGTAAGAGGAGGGGACTGTGTGAGAGGAGGGGGTTCCGTGAGAGGAGGGGATTGTGTGAGAGGAGGGGGTTCTGTGAGAGGAGGGGACTGTGTGAGAGGGGGTTCCGTGAGAGGAGGGGATTGTGTGAGAGGAGGGGACTGTGTGAGAGGAGGGGGTTCTGTGAGAGGAGGGGGTTCCGTGAGAGGAGGGGATTGTGTGAGAGGAGGGGGTTCTGTGAGAGGAGGGGGTTCTGTGAGAGGAGGGGACTGTGTGAGAGGAGGGGGTTCTGTGAGAGGAGGGGGTTCTCTGAGAGGAGGGGACTGTGTGAGAGGAGGGGGTTCTGTGAGAGGAGGGGGTTCTGTGAGAGGAGGGGACTGTGTGAGAGGAGGGGATTCCGTGAGAGGAGGGGATTGTGTGAGAGGAGGGGGTTCTGTGAGAGGAGGGGACTGTGTGAGAGGAGGGGGTTCTGTGAGAGGAGGGGGTTGCGTGAGATGAGGGGATTGTGTGAGAGGAGGGGGTTCTGTGAGAGGAGGGGGTTCTGTGAGAGGAGGGGACTGTGTGAGAGGAGGGGGTTCTCTGAGAGGAGGGGACTGTGTGAGAGGAGGGGGTTCCGTGAGAGGAAGGGGTTCCGTTAGACGACGGGGTTCTGTGAGAGGAGGGGGTTCCGTGAGAGGAGGGGACTGTGTGAGAGTAGGGGGTTCTGTGAGAGGAGGGGGTTCTGTGAGAGGAGGGGGTTCCGTGAGAGGAGGGGGTTCCGTGAGAGGATTGTGTGAGAGAAGGGGGTTCTGTGAGAGAAGGGGACTGTGTGAGAGGAGGGGGTTCCGTGAGAGGAGGGGGTTCTGTGAGAGGAGGGGGTTCCGTGAGAGGAGGGGATTGTGTGAGGGGGGGTTCTGTGAGAGAAGGGGGTTCCGTGAGAGAAGGGGGTTCCGTGAGAGAAGGGGGTTCTGTGAGAGAAGGGGGTTCCGTAAAAGAAGGGGGTTCCGTAAGAGAAGGGGATTGTGTGAGGGGGGGGGTTCCGTGAGAGGAGGGGGTTCCGTGAGAGGAGGGGGTTCTGTGAGAGGAGGGGATTGTGTGAGAGGAGGGGATTGTGTGAGAGGAGGGGGTTCTGTGAGAGGAGGGGGTTCCGTGAGAGGAGGGGGTTCCTCCTGGGCTGGGCTTTGCAGGGTAGGAAGAATCATGATGGAAATACTAGGGCTTTCTAGGCAGAGGGACTGGGTTGAGCCAAAACTGGCAGGAGAGAAGGCAGAAGGGAGTTCCTGCGAGCAGCCAATAGCCTAGGCTGGCCTGGGAAAGACTGGGAATCTGGCGGATGACATGGAAAGATGCACAGATCTTTGTGAAACAAAGCGATTATATATAGACAGCACATACAAAGGATCTTGTGACTGCAAAGCCGTAGACGCAGGGGGGTGGCGCGGGCTGGAGGCAGCTCGGCATAGGTTGAAAGCTCATGTGGCACAGCCGAGTGACTTTCCCTTTCTTCCTAGTGCTTTTCTGTAGATTTGCCTTCGGTCAACAAGTATCAACTGAGTCCACACACCAGGCACGGTGCCAAACACGTTCAATTCATTGTGCCGTTTAATTCTGACAACTCAGGGGTGGGGGACTGCTGACTGGCCCGAGGACGTAACAGCAGGTGCCTCGGAGGCAGATCGGAAACCCAAGGCTGGTGCTATCTGTCACAGCAGTCACTACGCAGGGTCCCGGGGTCTGAAGGTAGGGCACCTGGGCAAGCCGACAAGTATCAAGAACCCAACCCCGAGGCCAGAGGGGCTTGCTCCAGATTCCAGTGGATTCGACTCCAGAGCTGGCCTTGTTCAGCCTCCGAGGACCTGCTCTTTCCTTAACAGGTGGGATGTCATTATGGGCCATTAGGGGAATGAACAAACAAGTGGGTTAAGATTTCAAAAGTAGGTGGAAACTTCATAACTTCTGGATTTCACAGCAGAAAGAGCCCAGAGAAGACCCTCCTGTGATCACAGCGAGGGGCAGGGCTGTGGCTGTACTGCAGATGAGGGAGGGTCAGGGATGCACCTGATGACACCTGCGGTCTCACCTGACTTCGCCTCCTTCCTAAAGCCCCTCCCGAGTGGAACAGGAGGCTCAGGGATGGGATGCTGGTGCTGTCTGAAGGACAGAGGTGAAAGTCAGAGGGTCCCCTCGGCTTGAAACACGGCTCAGGTCTCAGACTACCCCTCACACCAACAGCCTTCGGTCCCTCTGCTGCCATCGTACAGCCTTGCAATCACTTGTTTACTTTTCTGCCAAGGCCAATGACTGTTGCAAAATAATGAACGGTAAGAGCTGAGGTCATAACTGGGGAGCTTCCCCGACCATCCCCTGCACACTTCAAACCAAAGCGGCGTGGTGGCCTGTGGCTTCAGCTGCCTAGAGCTGCAGGGCAGAGGGGGGCTGGCCTGCAAAGTTTCAGCAGACTGGACGGCCCATTGAGGCCAGCAAGGTTCCTATAGGAGGCATCTCTGAGAAGACGCAGTGTAGTGTAATGGTTACACCTGCAGGCTTTGGGATCACCTGTGTGCAAAAATCCCAGCTATCTGACATAGACACGTTCTCAACTCCTTTGAGCAACCCAGTTTGCTTACCTGTAAAATGTGGCCACCAATAAAGCTGAGATAATGCCTGTCAAATGCCTGGCACACAGCCTAATGGTACAGCAGGTGCTCAATAAACATTGGTTTTCATTCATTACTACTGTTTCACAAAATCTGACAATGACCAGGCACTATGAAGTAACAAAGCTTCTTTCAAAATAGCAGCTCATTTGATACAGGCCCTTTGCTTCCTCAGGGGTGAAGGCTGCAAAACACCATACTACATTCCCTCAGGGAGCTGGGAAGCAGCAAGGAAGCAGAACGAGAACCACGTTGACCTGGGACCAGAACCCTAGCTTTCTTTCTCAATAGCTGTGTGACCCTGGACAAATTACTCAACCTCTCTGAATCTTTTTTTGTTTTGGTTTGGGTCTTTTATTTTTTATTTATTTTTTTGAGACTGACTCTCGCTCTGTCACCCAGGCTAGAGTGCAGTGGTTCAATCTCGGCTCATTGCAACCTCCACCTCACCAGTTCAAACGATCCTCCTGCCTCACCCTCCCAAGTAACTGGGATTACAGGTGAACACAACCAAGCCTAGCTAATTTTGTATTTTTAATAGAGACGAGGTTTCACCATGTTGGTCAGGCTGGTCTCAAACTCCTGACCTCAGGTGATCCACCCGCCTCGGCCTCCCAAAGTGCTGGGATTACAGGCATGAGACACCACACCTGGCCTTTTTTTTGGAAGCAGAGTCTAACTCTGTCGTCCAGGCTGGAGTGCAGTGGTGCAATCATGGCTCACTTGCAGCCTCAGCCTCCCAGCCTCAAGAGATTCTCCTGCTTAAGCCTCCCGAGTAGCTGGAGCTACTTGTACTCAGCCTCCGAGGACCTGCTCTTTCCTTAACAGGCGGGATGTGATATGGGCCATTAGGGGAATGAACAAACACAAGTGGGTTAGGATTTCACAAGTAGGTGGAAATTTCATAACTTCTGGAGGCTGAGCACACGCCACCACATTTGGCTAAATGTACTTTTCTGGAGAGATGGGGTTTCGCCATGTTGCCCAGGCTGGTCTTGAACTCCTAGGTTCGCATGAACTGCCCTCCTCGGCTTCCCAAAGTGCTAGGATTACAGGTGTGAGCTACTGTGCCCAGCCTACCTCAGTTTTCTTAACTGCAAGATGGAGAGAATAACACCCTCCTCACAAGAGGACAGTAAGGCCCTCAGGAGGCAATGCCCATTAACACCACATGGACAAACAGCGGCAGGTCCAGAACTAGGCGGTGCAGGCAAGCCCCTCATCCACCTATCCAGTACCCCAACATCCCCTGAGCTTCTGCCATGGGTCAGGCTGAGTTCAGAGCTCATTCACAGGGAGCAGAGCTCTGCCAGCTGTGGCTACCATGGGTGACCAAAACAACCACTGCCTGAGGCCCCTCCCAGAGGCTCCAAACATCCCATAGTCCACCGACTGACACTTGGGCCTGAGGGTCCCAGGTGAGAGGACCCAGCTGACTTGGCATCCAACTTCAGGCCACGCGGCTGTCAGAGAGCAGCAGTCAGAAGCACAGGATCCAATCCTGGCATGCGTGGGGGCAGCATGTGCACTTCGTTGTTGGGCAGCAACCTGGCCCAAGGCAGGACCAGATCCCAGCAGCTGGGACCACAGACAGTGCTGTGGGAGGCACTCAGCAATGGGGCTTACACTGACTTGTGTCTTTGAGATTCGCGTGCAATGCGCCTTTGAGGCCAAGCCCCAGGCTCTGGGTAGATAAGCAGACAGCCTGAGACTCACTCTCAAGGACACTCTGGTCACCCAGGGCCCCTGAGAATAGATACGGGCATCACAACTAGACAGGAGAAAGGTCAGGACCACAACTGTAGCACGTGCCACAACATCAGGGACCTGGCCAGTGGCTGGCGCAGTAAGTGCCCCTGGTGCATCTGAATGAATATGGCTGTTGCAGCTTTGCCCAATCTGCTGTCTCATGAACTCCATGTCCCCAGGCAGGGTTTCCAAGCGCCTCCTAACCCTTCTGCGGGAGGGTTCTGGCCATCTCCCAGTAAACACACAATTCTCCACCGCCGCCTGCAGATTTGGTCCACTCCCCAGCTTGGCATTCACAGCGCCTGGTCTGGCCTCAACTTCTCAACCTCACCTCTCTCCACGCTGCAGCCACACCCTCTGCTCCTAGAGCCGCTCTCATACTTCTGTACTCCTCAGGGCCTTTGCTGTTCTGAGTTCCTCCACCTTGAACATCCTCCCTTCTACCCTGATCCTGTCAAAACCCAACATCCCTCAGGACCTAATATCATTCCCCATCCCCCGGGTGAAACCCTTTCCAGGCTCTCCCATGTATACCTTCCGACAGCACTTTCTTTTTTTTTTGGAGATGGAGTCTTGCTCTGTCGCCCAGGCCGGAGTGCAGTAGTGCGATCTCGGCTCACTGCAGCCTCTGCCTCCCGGGTTCAAGAAATTCTTCTGCCTCAGCCTCCTGAGTAGCTGGGACTACAGGCACACGCTGCCATGCCCGGCTAATTTTTTGTATTTTTAGTACAGAGAGGGTTTCACCGTGTTGCCCAGGCTGGTCTCGAACCCCTGAGCTCAGGTAATCCACCCAAAGTGCTGGGATTACAGGCGTGAGCCACCGTACCCGGCCTAGCACTTTCTTTTTTTTTTTTTTTTTTTGAGACGGAGTCTTGCTCTGTCACCCAGGCCGGAGTGCAGTAGCGCGACCTTCGGCTCACTGCAAGCTCGGCCTCCCGGGTTCAAGCCATTCTCCTGCCTCAGCCTCCTGAGTAGCTGGGACTACAGGTGCCTGCCACCACACCCGGCTAATTTTTTGTATTTTTAGTAGAGACGGGGTTTCACCATGTTAGCCAGGATGGTCTTGATCTCCTGACCTCGTGATCCACCCGCCTGAGACCCCCAAAGTGCTGGGATTACAGGTGTGAGCCACCGTGCCCGGCCAGCACTTTCTTTTCCTGTTAATATACTGTCATGCTGGGTGCGGTGGCTCACGCCTATAATCCCAGCACTTTGGGAGTCCGAGGCAGGAGGACTGCTTGGGCCCAGAAGTTTGAGACCAGCCTGGCAACATGGCGAAACTGCATCTCTACAAAAAATACAAAAAATTAGCTGGGCATAGTGGAGCATGCCTGTTGTCCCAACTACCCGGGAGGCTGAGGCTACTGGGGAGGATGAAATGGGAGGATCACCTAAGCCCCAGGAGGTTGAGGCTGCAGTGAGCTGTGATCGTACCACTGTACTCCAGCCTAGGAGACCCATCTGGGGCAACACAGCAAGACCCCACCTCTACATAAAATTTAAAAATTAGCCAGGTGTGCTGGCACTCACCTGTAGGCCCAACTACTTGGGGGTCTAAGGTAGGAGGATGGCTTGAGCCTAGGAGTTCAAGGCTGCAGTGAGCTAGGATCGCTCCACTGCATCCTAGCCGGGGCGACAGACAGACATCCTATCTCAAAAAACAAACCAAAAAAACCCCATGAGTTTTGGGACAGAGCTGGGCTCAAAAGAGGTCTCTGACACCATGGGATGCATGACTATGGTGGAGTCAAAACTGTCTGGGGCTCAGGTTCCTTATCTGTAAAATAAGGACAATGACAGCAGGACTTCATAAACACTAAATGAGAGACTCTACATAAAGCCTTAGCTCAGGGGCTGGCACTTGTACGCCGTTAGCTGTTACATTATCCTTATTACTATGTTAGTTAAGAAGTGGCTCCCCGAACCAGCTGCAACAGAGTCACTTGGGGAACTTACGTGTGCAGAACCTCCAGGGATAGAGCTCAAGAACCTGAACTTTTTTTTTCCCCCTCTTTTTCTTTTTGAGAGAGTTTTGCCCTGTCGCCCAGACTGGAGTGCAGTGGCACAATCTTGGTTCACTGCAGCCTCTGCCTCCTGGGTTCAAGCGATACTGGCGCCTCAACTTCCCAAGCAGCTGGGATTACAGGTGTGTGCCACCATGCCTGGCTAATATAGGTATATATTATGTGTGTGTGTGTGTATATATATATATAAAATACATGATATATAAAAATATATATAACATAATAATATGTAGTATACATAAATGTATACGGTATATATAATACATATATATAATTTTTTTTTTGAGACGCAGTCTCACCCTGTCGCCCAGGCTAGAGTGCACTGGCGGATCTCGGCTCATTGCAACCTCTGTCTCGCGGGTTCAAGCGTCTGTCCTGCCTCAGCCTCCCGGGTAGCTTGGACTACAGGCGCGCACCACCCCACCCGGCTAATTTTTTAAATTTTTTGGTGGAGACCGGGTTTCATCATGTTGGCCAGGCTGGTCTCGAACTCCTGACCTCGTGATCCGCCGCCTCGGCCTCCCAGAGTGCTGGGATTACAGGCGTGAGCCACCGCGCCCAGCCAAACCTGCACTTTTAAAGCTACCCTAGGTGACCTGACAGTGTGGCGCAGGTCTGTTGACTGGCTCTACGTGCCAACGATATCACACAAACGCTCCGTGCTCGGTGTCTCGGGGCCTAGTTCAAGTCCCAGGTCAGCCACTTCCCTGGAAAGGCCAGCTTTCCACTGGGGATAACAACAGGGCAGCAACATCGACTCTGCAGCGCTGTAAGGTTCCAGGGCAGGGGAGGCGCTCACCAGCCAGACTCATGCTCCACCGCTGCCCACGGCTGCTCGCTCACACGCGGGCTAGGCACAGCGCGACCACGTTTGCCCGGCCTCTTCCAGGCAGACGGTTTTCCCTGGCCCTGAGGCCGCCGGTGCCGCCGCTGCCGGCCTCGATTCCCCCGGGTGCAACGCCCCCAGACCATGCTTCCCGCCGGGCACGCAGGGGGCGCACGGCGCCCGCCGCCCAGCCCGGAGCTCGCCGCCCGGCCCCCGGCCCCCGGCCCGACTCGGCTTCCCCTCCCCGGTAGCGCCCGACTCGGGGCTCACCATGGCAGCCGCTCTGCCTCCGGGGCTCAAACTCCGACTTCCTGGCCCCGCGGCCGGGGATCAAGCGTGGTCGGCGGGTCAGAGGTCAAGGAAAGCCGCAGAGAGCGCGTGCGCGATACGGCGCTGGGCATGCGCATTGCCTCAGTCTAAGGGCGGGCCACCGGGAGCGTCTTAGCGGCTCGGGGCGGGGTCGGAGGCGGGGTTTGACTGAGCCTGCGTCGGGCTCTGGATAACTGGGGGCGGGCTTGGGAGGGCAAGGGGCGTTACCGGGAGTCTCAATTGCCCGCGTGCTTACCCCAGTGCGCTGGAGCAGCTAAGCACATCGGTCAGACGTGGGGCGATTTCTGCCCTTGATTTTGCCAAAATATTTGGGAATGCAACATTATATGAAATCAATGAACATAATATGGAGTAGGATGCTAAATTCTCAAAAATACTTTAGAAAATAGAAAACTTCAAAATAGGTTTCATCCACATTCCTCCTGCCTGAGAAGCTCGTTCCCTTCTTCAAATCTTTGCTCAAATGTCACCTCAATGAGGCCCACCTGGACCCCTTAAAACGCCGTGACTTGCCCTCCATGAATGAAAAAAGTAACAGCTTTATTGAGATATAATCCATACACTGTAGATTTCATGATTTTCAAGTGCACAGTCCAATGCCTTTTATTCACAGAGCTGTGCCACTGTCACCACTATTAGTTCCAGAACGTTTTCATCACCCATTAGTCACTCCCCAGCCCCCTCCCCCAGCCCCTGTCAACCACTCATTTTTCTCTCTATGGATTCACAGGTTCCGGACATTTCATAGAAATGGAATCATACAAGCCAGGCGTGGTGGCTCATGCCTGCAATCTCAAAACTTTGGGAGGCCGAGGTGGATCGCTTGAGGTCAGGAACTCAAGGCCAGGCTGGGCAACATGGTGAAACCCCATCTCTACAAATACAAAAATTAGCCGGGTGTGGTGGCAGGTGCCTGTAATCCCAGCTACTTGGGAGGCTGAGTGGTGGATCTCTTGAGCCCGGGAGGTACAGGCTGCAGTGAGCTGTGATCACTGCACTCCAGCCTGGGTGACAGAGTCAGGCCCTGCCTCAAAAAAAAAAAAAAAAAAAAAAAAAGGTAAAAATGAAAAATGAAAAAAAAGAAGAAATTGAATCATACAATGTGCAGCCTTTTGTGACTGGCTTATCCTCCCTTCTTGTCTCTATTTTTCTTCCAAGACTCTGATCACCCTCTACCATACCACATAATTTACTTATTTATTTTATTTATCATTTTGAGACAGGGTCTCACCCTGTCGCCCAGGCTGGAGTCCAGTGGCACAATCCTGCCTCACTGCAACCTCCACCTCCCAGGTTCAGGCGATGCTCATGCTTTAGCCTCCTGAGTAGCTGGGATTACAGGCATGGACCACCATGCCCCATTAATTTTTGAATTTTTAGTAGAGACAGGGTTTCACCATGTTGGCCAGGCTGGTCTTGAACTACTGGTCTCAAATGATCCACCCGCCACAGCCTCCCAAAGTGCTGGGATTATAGGCATGTGACACTGTGCCCAACCGGTTTTTTATTTTTAAATTATTTTTCCTTTTTTTTTTTTTTTTGAGATGAAGTCTTGCTCTGTCACCCAGGCTGGAGAGCAGTGGCCCAATCTTGGCTCACTGCGATCTCCACCTCCTGGGTTCAAGTGATCCTCCCACTTCAGCCTCCGAAAGTGCTGGGATTACAGGTGTAAGCCACCGTGCCCAGCCAAAAAAAAATTTTTTTTTTTCAAGATAGGGTCTCACTCTGTTGCCCAGGCTGCAGTACAGTAGCATGATCATGGCTCACTGCAGTCTTGACCTTCCAGCCTTGAGTGATACTTTCACCTCAGCTTTCTGAGTAGCTGGGACCACAGGCATGTGCCAACACATGTGGTTAATGTTTGTTTTTTGTCTTTTTGAGAGCGTCTCCCTGTTGCCCAGCCTGGAGTGCAGTGGCATGACCTCGGCTCACTGCAACCTCTGCTTCCTGGGTTCAAGAGATTCTCTTGCCTCAGCCTCCTGAGTAGCTGGGACTACAGGCATGGGCCACCATGTCCGGCTAATTTTTTGTATTTTTAGTAAAGACGGGGTTTCACCGTGTTAGCCAGGATGGTCTCGTGCTCCTGACCTCGTGATCCGCCTGCCTTGGCCTCCCGAAGTGCTCGGATTACAGGCGTGAGCCACCGCGCCCAGCTAATGTTTGTATTCTTTGTAGAGACAAGGGTTCCCCTATGTTGCCCAGTCTGACCTCAAACTCCTGGGTTCAAGCAATCCTCCCACCTTGGCCTCCCTTTATTTTTATGTTTATTGTTGAGAATCTGTTTCCTTCCACTAGAATGGGAGTTCCTGTTGGGCAAGCATTTCCTCTCTCTTCTCTGCTGTTAGATGTCAAGCGCCTGGAAGAGCATCTGGCGCACAGCATTCGGCAAATGGTGGGATGAAAGTTGGGCCACCTGGAATCCTACTCTACACCGCTGCCCTTCTTCCTCTTCCTCCTGGCCTCCACATTCCTCTCTCTGTGCCCACATTGTACTTCCTTGCCTCGGAAGTGGCTCTCTCCCTGGCTGGCTCCTCATCAGCCTTCAAGTCTTGGCTCTTAGCTGAAAGTCACCTTCTCAGGCCCTGAATTCCCTGCCTCGCTGCATCCCAGTTGCTTCCTGTCCCACAGGTTTTTTTGTTTGTTTGTTTGTTTTTTGAGACTGAGTCTTGCTCTGTCACCCAGGCTGGAGTGCAATGGCAGGATCTTGACTCACTGCAACCTCTGACTCCTGGGTTCAAGCAATTCTCCTCCCTCAGCTTCCCAAGTAGCTTGGATTACAGGCGCTTACCACTACACCTGGCTACTTTTTGTATTTTTAGTAGAGACAGCGTTTTACCATGTGGGCCAGGCTGGTCTTGAACTCCTGGCCTCAAACGATCCTCCCACCTTGGCCTCCCAAAGTGCTAGTATTATAGGCATGAGCCACCGTGCCCAGCCAGTTTCTCTTCTTTACTGCTGTCTTCACACTCTATATGCTCGTGTGCAGTCTGGTTCCCCTGCATAAGGAGGCTGTAAGAAGCTGAAGGTCCTTGCAAGACCTTATCTCTCCTGTCCTTTATAGCATCCCGCCATCCAGAGCACTGCCAGGAACCTGCATGGTGAGCGAATGACTCCCAGCAGTGCGCAGGTGATTGGGCCTTGGGACCAGAGTGAGGCTGAGATAAAGGGGAGCCCAGGGCCAGACCCCTGTCACCCACATTCCTGTCCCCTTCCCTTTCCAGCCAGCCCAGAGACCACAGCAGCACAAGAGGTGGCCAGCTTAAAAAAGTTTAATTGCTGAAAACATCCAAGGCAGGTGCGGGCCAGTCCCTGCGGGGCTCACACCCCCCTTATTGGACCATCAGCTCTGTGATGCCCCCTTCTCCTGGCTACAAACCTGGGAAGTAGGGCAGCTGGTCCCAGGGCCCTGAGACTGGTGCTGCTCTAGAAGGCCTGGTGGGGGGCCAGCCCCCAAGGCCCTTGACCAGAACTGGAACAGCAGGCAAGATGGGGCAGCGTGGGGTGACCAAAGATCCTGGATGAGGCCAATCCAGGCTGGGACCAGCCCAGGTCAGCAGTGAGACCAGGGGAGACAGGGTGCCCAGGGCCTGCCCAGGGACATGCTGCTGACCCCCCGCCACCCTGCACCCCTGGCCACATGCTAGCGGGCAGCTGATGAGCAGCAGCTGACCCCAGAGACAGCAGAGGTGAAAACAGTCCCTGGGAACTGCCAGAGGCCCAGAGGATGTGGAAGTGCCCACGGGAAGGCAGGAGTGCAGGGGTGACATGTGCCGGGGCCAGAGAGGTATCTTCCAGCTTGAGGATGAGCCGTGAGGTGTGCACTAGGAAGTGGCAGCACAGGTGAGGTGGAGGTGACGGGGGCGCAGGCTAGTCCTGGGGCGAAACACCAAGAGGTGGGAGGGAGTCAGGAGGGCCTGGGAAGGGAGGAGGCATGCACCGTGGCATGTGCGAGGGACCGCGCTGCCTGCCGGGAAGTGAGGCCACTCACTACTCACCCACTCGTCCTCGTCCACGCCTTCAAAGGAGTCCTGGGGGAGTGGGTCCTCCCGGTTCCCCAGTTTTGCCACCATGGCATTCAGCAGCTGGGAGAGAGGGCAGAAGAAGGGTAGGTAAGGGAATAGGACTCCCTGTTCCCTCTCCCACTCCAAGAACAACCCTGACAAGGCTGTGAAAAGAACTTTTTTTTTTTTTTAGACGGAGTCTTGCTCTGTCGCCCAGGCTGGATGGAGTGCAGTGGCGCGATCTCGGCTCACTGCAAGCTCTGCCTCCCGGGTTTACACCACTGTCCTGCCTCAGCCTCCCAAGGAGCTGGGACTACAGGCGCCCACCACCATGCCCGGCTAATTTTTTGTATTTTTAGTAGAGACGGGGGTTTCACCGTGTTAGCCAGGATGGTCTCGATCTCCTGACCTCGTGATCCGCCCGCCTCGGCCTCCCACGGTGCTGGGATTACAGGCGTGAGCCACAGCGCCCGGCCTTTTTGTTTGTTTGTTTGTTTTAGAGAGAGACAAGGTCTTGCTCTGTCACCAAGGCTGGAGTGCAGTGGTGCAATCATGGCTCACTGCAGCCTTGACTTTCTGGGTGCAAGCAATTCTCCTGCCTCAGCCTCCCAAGTAGCTGGGACTACAAGTGTGTAACACCACACCTGGTTAATTTTTATTTTATTTATTTATTTTTTTGAGACAGAGTTTTGTTCTTGTTGCCTAGGCTGGAGTGCAATGGCACAATCTCGGCTCACCACAACCTCTGCCTCCTGGGTTCAAGCGATTCTCCTGCCTCAGCCTCCCAAGTAGCTGGGATTACAGGTATGCGCCACCATGCCCGGCTAATTTTGTGTTTTTAGTAGAGACGAGGTTTCATCATGTTGGTCAGGCTGGTGTCGAACTCCCAACCTCAGGTGATCCGCCCTCCTCGGCCTCCCAAAGTGCTGGGATTACAGGCGTGAGCCACCATGCCTGGCCACACCTGGTTAATTTAAAAAATTTTTTTGTAGAGATGGGGTTTCACTGGTCTCAGGCTGGGTCTCAAACTCCATCACTTATATCCTCTTGCTTTGGTCTCCCAAAGTGCTGGGATTACAGGTGTGAACCACCATGCCTGGCCAAAAGAGCCACTATATTTTATTTTTATTTTTATTTTTATTTATTTATTTATTTATTGAGACGGAGTCTCGCTCTGTCACCCAGGCTGGAGTACAGTGGCACGATTTCGGCTCACTGCAATCTCCACCTCCTGGGTTCAAGTGATTCTCCTGCCTCAGTCTCCCGAGTAGCTGGGATCACAGGCGCCCGCCACCATGCCCGGCTAAATTTTTGTATTTTAGTACAGACGGGGTTTCACCGTGTTGCCCAGGGTGGTCTCAAACTCCTGAGCTCAAGCAATCCGCCTGCCTTGGGCTCCCAAAGTGTTAGGATTACAGACATGAACCACCGTGCCCGGCCTCAAAAGAGCCATTTTAATTACAGCCCTGACAAAATCGATGGGTTTCTATTGAAAAAGACACAAAGAAGAGACAGGGGGAGTAAGAGACTGAGAGGCTGCGGCATGTGGCACCAGATACAAGGGCTACTATCTCTGCACATGGCCTCAAGTGCTCAAAATATACTCCAAGGTCCCAAAAGCACTTGGGCCCAGAACTGCCGGCTTAGGCTGGGTTTGGCCTGGCCAGGGCAGGGCTCCCACTGCCCTCCCCCACTTCCCGGGCCCCATGGTCAGTGGTAGGGCTCTGGAAGGTCTCCCCACCAGGCTCTGGTGTGAAGGGGACGTGACATGTGGCTGCTGTCCCAGTCTGGGTTGGGGATGGAGAACTAAGGGGCCGTGGCCAGGTGCAGCCAGGACTCTGTCACCTCCGCACAGCTGCTCTCTCCCATGCCTACCTCCTCCTTCTTTTGCTGGTCAGACTTTTCTTCCAGGTACTGCGCTGAGGATGGGGCCCGACGAGCAGGGGCCTCTCGGGGGGCTTGGCTCACTGGGACAGAGCAAGGACACGTGTCAGAGAGTCCCCTTCGTTAGGGCTCTTTGGTGCCAAGCCCTCGGGGATTTCTTTCTTTCTTTTCTTTCTTTCTTTTTTTTTTTTTTTTTTGAGATGGAGTTTTGCTCTTGTTGCCCAGGCTGGAGTGCAATGATGTGACCTAGGCTGACTGCAACCTCCGCCTCCTCTGGGTTCAAGCGATTCTCCTGCTTCAGCCTCTGGAGTAGTTGGGATTGCAGGCGCCCACCACGCCAGGCTAATTTTGTATTTTTAGTAGAGATGGGGTTTCACCATGTTGGCCAGGCTGGTCTCAAACCCCCGACCTCAGGTGATCCACTCGCCTCAGCCTCCTAAAGTGCTGGGATTACAGGCATGAGCCACCGCGCCTGGCCGACCTAGGGGATTTCTATGGCGCAGATCTAAGAGGTGGTATTAACAGTCAATGGAGCCTCACTGTATAAGCCCTGCCCTAGACACCACAGTGTGTGCGTGTGTGTGTGTGTTAGGGGTGGGGACCTGTGATGAAAACACAGACCACGAGCCCTGCCCTCCACTGGCTCAGAGACTGATTGACACAGCCACTCCACCCTCCCAAAGGCCAGAGGATTCTGCGTGCCAACAGGAATGGAACTTCAACCTGGGCCTTCTGTCCCTTTCTCCAACCCCCATCCCGCTTCCTCCCCACACCCAGTCCCTCGGTGCACCTGGGCTCATGTCAGGAGGCTGCAGGCTGAGAAGCCAGGGCTGCCCATTAGCGCCTTGCAGCCAGGCCTCGGCACTGAGCACAGGCTCCCAGATCACAGCCGTGTCTGGGAACACGTCATCCTGGAAGAACTCTTTCTGCAGAGGGAGAAACGGGCTGTCCTGAGACATTGACCAGGTGCCCAGGGCACACGGGCATCTGTTGGGGAGGGACAGGGCAAGACCTGGGACCCTCCCACCAGCCTGGGGCTTCCATGAGTTTCAGCATCTCAGCAGAAGGGGGTAGGTGTCCCCATGAACAATGGGTAGGGAAGTTTGGAAGCTGGGTCAGACGGGACCCAAACTCCCCTCTAGGCACCGAGAAGGCGGTGGGCATGGGAGTCCCAGGTCCCCACCCTCACCCGGACTCGGGGCAGCCGGAAGGCCACAGGCTCCAGGGAGGACTGACGCAGCCGCAGGCACCGCATCAGCTCCACTTCCCGCACGTCGCACTCCGTCTTAGGCAGGAGGACGAGGCCCTGGGGGAGCAAGGGAGTCGGAGCTGCCGCTGGGACCTAGAGCTCATGGCTGGGCACGTAGTCTCCCCAGGGTGCCGGCACCCCTCACTTAGGACCACCATGCCTAGGGCCTGTCCCTGGACAGTAACGTGTTGATCATGTTGAACAACCTGCTCTCTGGAGGGAAAGCCCTGATTTGTGGTGTTTTCCTATTTCCACAGTTTACAAACTCCCACCATGGGCAGCTTCTACGTGCCACCTCCACTCCCTGAATGTGGTGTTGGGAAGAGATGTAAATAGCACATCATCCTGCATTTCCTCCATGCACTCCAACACAGAAACATGTGACCTCAGCACAAATAATAGTAAAATTGGATAAATTAATTAGAAGTGATAAACTGAGTGTTTATTACTTTGGTTTTTAATATTATTTTTAGGTTCATATTGTAGGTTCATATAGTTTAACCTTATCTAGTGCAATTTTTTGTTTGTTTTGTAGAGATGGGGTCTTGCTATGTTGCCCAGGCTGGTCTTGAACTCCTGGGCTCAAGCAATTCTCCTGCCTCAGCCTTCCGAAGTGTTGGGATTCCAGGCCACCGTACCCGGCCTACAGTATGATTTTTAATAATGGTTGAGTATGACAATGGCTCTCAAAATTCCTAAATAATTCCAGCAGCAACTCTTCTTGCCAGTCACTGGGCACAGCCCCAGGCCCAGCCCCAGCCCAGGACTCTGACCCCCGACCCACAGGCTCCTGTACTTGCCCACATGGCCACCAGGGGGCAGGGCAGCCTTGTGGTCCCATCGGGGACGAGGCGCCAGGGTGGCCTCACCTTGTGGGGGTCAGGCGACGTGAAGCTGTTGCACTCCAGGAAGAAAGGGGACTCGGGGAGCAGCTCGTACAGGAATACACGGGTGTCGCCCTGCGGGGAAGAAGGCAGGCTGGGAACCCTCCGGCAACACTGGCCTTCCCCCCACCACCTCTCACCTGCCATCCCGCCCTCCAGCCCAGCCCACCTTGCCGGTCAGGAGCACCAGGCCAGTGTCTGGGTCGTAGCTGGGCAGCAGGGTTGAGGGAGCCACGTCCAGGCCCAACACTGCCAAGGGTCCGCCGGCCAGGGCCTCAGCTTCATATAGGAGCAGCTGGCGCTCACTTTGGCTGCAAGGGGGTTTGGGGGCTGAAGCAGGTGTTTCAGAGCTGAAGGGGCCTGGGGCAGGGAGAAGGCGCCCACGTAGCCCCTGCTCTGTTCTGGGTTGTAGGCGAGGCCTAGTGTGGCCCGGCACCGCAGCCACATCCTAACCTGCCCCTCCACCTCTGGGTTCCCCATTGACTCTTTCTCCTCCACTAATCACTCACCCATCCATCTACCCCTGACTGCCTCACCGCCCCTGCTTCCATCTCCCCCAGAGCCCCTTGTGCACCCCTGCATCTATCTCCCCCCAACCCCTCACCCACCCCTCTATCCATCTCCCCACTACCCCCAAAACATCCCTCCATCTCCCCTACCCCCCTCACCCTCCCCTGCATCCATCTCCCCCTTACCCCCAACTCATCCATCGATCTCTCCCTACCCCCTCATTCATCCATCCAGCCATCCGCCCATCTATCCCCACATTCATTCATCCACCCATCCATCCATTCACCCACCTATCCATCCACCCATCTACCCACTCATCCAATCATCTACCCACCCACCCAACCATCCAGTGAGGGGCAGGAATGGTTTCTGAAAGCCTGACAAATGTATGTGACTGTGGAGAAGGGGGACACAGGTGGCTTCTGAAGCCTGGGGATGGGGATGCCTGAGTCCTCACCTGTCAAAGCCAGACACCAGCAGACAGCGACCATCACATACCCAGACAATGCGAGCTCCGCGTCCTCCCTTGGGCCCTGGGCCTTCCTGTTGAGATACATCGCGTGACACCCAGCCAGCACCCCTGAACCAGGTCTGAGGCCACTCCCCAGCCCCTGTGTGCTCACCTGCAGGGGCTCAGGGCCACTCCGGGGCCTGTAGACCCGCACACGCCCATCCTTGCAGACAGTGGCCAGCTGCTGCCCATCAGGACTCCAGGCCAGGCTGAAGATCTGGGGGCAGGAAGGGATATGAGAGACAGCCTTGCTTCACTGCTGGCCCCACCTCTCCCCACTGCTCCTGCCCCTCCTCACTGCTGGCGCCGCCCCTCCTCACTGCTGTTCCCGCCTCTCCTCACTGCTGGTCTTGCCTCTCCTCACTGCTGGCCCCCCTCTCCTCACTGCTGGCCCCCCTTCTCCTCAATGCTAGCCCGGCCCCTCCTCACCGCTGGCCCTGCCCCTCCTCACCACTGGCCCCCCTCTCCTCACTGCTGGCCCCACCCCTCCTCGCTGCTGGTCCTGCCTCTCCTCACTGCTGGCCCCGCCACTCCTCACTGCTGGCCCCACCTCTCCACACTGCTGGCCCCGCCTCTCCACACTGCTGGCCCCACCTCTGCAGCCGTCCTACCTGGTCTTGGTGGCCCTGCAGCTTCAGCCGATCAGCTCCAGCCTGAAGGTCCCAGATGCGAACAGTGAGGTCATAGGAGGACGAGGCCAGCACATTGGCTGCCAGTGGGTGGAAGCGCAGGGAGCAGATCTTCTCCGTGTGGCCTGGAGGAAGGCAGGGGTGATCAGGAGCCCTTGGGAGACACTGGCCACCCCAGCCCCATTCCTGAGCCTGCCTGACCTGTGAGCACAGTCTCTGGCGTGGTGAGCACCTCTTCCAGGCCCTCTGCGGGTACCCGCCACAGTCGGATCCTGGCGTCCTCACCAGCTGCAGAGGACAGACAGGGGCTCATCATTGCTGAGCCCAAGACCTCTGGGCTCCCCAGCCCCTATCCGGGACCCAGGACCCTCCCTCAAGCCCAGGCACCCAGCCTCCTTACCCACAGCGAGGCGATGGGGGTCAAAGGGGTCCCAGGCCAGATCAGTCACAGCTGCCCCATTCTGCAGCGTGGGCAGTGCCGTGTCGGGCAGGCGGCCAGGCTTCCGTAGCTGTGGGAGGTGCCCCCACCCCGAGGCCCATCAGTACCAGGCAGAAAAGCCAGTCCCCAGGGGCTGCGGGCAAGCAGCATGTCTGGGAGCCCACCCTCTGCAGCAGAGGCTCCCACCGCTGGGTGACCCAAGCTCTCTGCCCTGACCACCTTGCGCTCTGAGCCCCAAGTGCCAACCACAAGGCCCCAGAGAGTGAGGGGGCAGCAGCGTGAACTGGCGGGAAAAGCTCCGGCTTAGGGCTCAGGTGGCCGGGCTTCGGATCCCAGCTCCACCACTTACACAGCTGTGTGACCCGGGCAGGTCACTAAACCTCTCTGTGCCTCTTCTCCCTCATCTGTAAAATGGGGATAAAAGTGGCAGGCCCCATGGCAGGTGGCTGGGAGGATCACAGGACAGGCGGGCAGGAGCCTGACACAAGGTTTGTGCTCCCTGTGTTGTGTGGGTAGCTAAGGCCCTCCGCGTCTTTGCCACAGGCAGGGAACTGAGGGGCAGCCCTGGTGGGGTGGGGCCCTCACCTCAAGCACAGCCACCTGTCCCCCGCTGCTGAGCAGCGGCACGGCCACACGCAGCTTGTTGGCACAGAAGCCGTCACTCTCACCAGGTGTGGTGAGGTTGAGCCCCTTGAGGTTGGTGATGTGGCTGTCTCGGTGCAGGACAGTGCCCTGAGCATGGCGGAACTTGGAACTGGGGCCTGGCAGGTGGCAGGGACATGGAACCACGTGTGAGGATGCCGTCCCCGCCCGCCCTGCACTCTTTGAGTCCCGGCTGCCCACTCCCCTCACCCCAGGTGGATGTACAGCATGGACCTAGGCCCAGGCCTTTGCTAATCCAGTGGATGCAACTCGCCCAGGAATAATGTCTGGAATGATATACCCTGTTCCATGGTGGCTCGGGGAATCTTGGTGGAGCCCAGGGCTTTGGCTGCTCAGAAGCTGGTGGCCCCAGCCGCCCTCCTATTTTGCAGGTGAGACTCAGCCACCACACCCCAGCCCCCAGGACAAATGACCCTGCCAGTGAGTCTGGGTGAGGGGGGTGCCCTGCATGAGGCCTGTGCTCAGCAGTAGGGTACACAGGAGGATGACGGGGAGTGGGGCAGACAGGGCTCCTGCGGTAGGGGTGAGCTCCCCGTCCTGCCTCCTTACCCAGCAGGCTCTGCAGCGACCTCAAACTGGGGCTGGTCCCGATGCCACTGGTGCTGGAGAGTGAGGGCCCCAGGCTGGAGGGCGTGGAGGGCGAGGTCAGCGAACTGGGAGGGGAAGAGAAACCCTCCTGGGGAGGGGCATGGGGTCAGCCAGCCTGCTCCTAGGTGTACTGGCCAAAAGGAGGGGGTGCCAGCGGACTCCAGGGTCACCACTCTGGGCCCCCTGCGGACTGGAGGAGCCCCCACTGTGGGCATGCGACAGGAGCGGCGGGGGGCACGGGCATAAACGCAGACACACAGGGAAGCAGCCGAGCTTCAGACCGCGGGGACAGCAAGTGGCAGCTGCTGGCTCCCAGCCCTGCAGGAGGGTGTGCCCAGTGGGTTAGATCTGCCAGTATTTTAAGAGAAGCCAGAAATCTAGATCTGTATGAAAATTCTTGCTTTTTAAGTGTTTGCCCAATTTAGAAAGCACTGTGCAAGTTCCTTCTTTATGCTCCACGTGTTTCTCTGTCTCTGTTACACTTGACAAAGAAGGTTGGGGCCAGGCGTGGTGGCTCAAGGCTGTAATCCCAGCAGTTTGGGAGGCCGAGGAGGGCAGATCACGAGGTCAGGAGTTCAAGGCCAGCATGGCCAACATGGTGAAGCCTGACTCTACTAAAAAAAATATAAAAATTGGCCAGGCGCGGTGGCTCACGCCTGTAATCCCAGCACTTTGGGAGGCCCAGGCGGGTGGATCATGAGGTTAGGAGTTCAAGACCAGCCTGGCCAACATGGTGAAAACCCGTCTCTACTAAAGATACTAAAGATACCAATTAGCCAGGCGTGGTGGTGCGCGCCTGTAATCCCAGCACTTTGGGAGGCCCAGGCAGGTGGATCATGAGGTTAGGAGTTTAAGACCAGCCTGGCCAACATGGTGAAAACCCATCTCTACTAAAGATACTAAAGATACAAATTAGCCAGGCGTGGTGGCGCACGCCTGTAATCCCAGCTACTCAGGAGGCTCAGGCAGGAGAATTGCTTGAAACTGGGAGGCGGAGGTTGCAGTGAGCCGAGATCGCACCATTGCACTCCAGCCTAGACGACAGGGCGAGACTCATCTCAAAAACAAAAACAAAAACAAAAATTAGGCCAGGTGCAGTGGCTCATGATTGTAATCCCAGCACTTTGGGAGGCCGAGGCGGGTGGATCACCTGAGGTCAGGAGTTCGAGACCAGCCTGACCAACATGGTGAAACCCCATGTCTACTAAAAATACAAAAATTAGCCAGGCATGGTGGCGGGTGCCTGTAATCTCACCTACTCGGGAGGCTGAGGCAGGAGAATCACTTGAACCCAAGAGGCGGAGATTGCAGTGAGCCGAGATCACACCATTGTACTCTAGCCTGGGCAATAAGAGCGAAACTCTGTCTCAAAAAATAAATTAAAATATAGTCGGCCATGGTGGCACATGCCTGTAATCCCAGCTACTCGGGAGGCTGAGGCAGGAGAATCGCTTGAACCTAGGAAGAGGAGGTTGCAGTGAGCCGAGGTTGCGCCACTGCACTCTAGCTTGGGTGACAGAGTGAGACACTGTCTCAAAAAAAAAAAAAGGCCGTTCAGCCGGTGAACACTCAGGGCAGCCACTGCAGTGTCGCTGAGGGAGGATGGGGGCGGCCCTGGTACTTACGCTTGCGTCTGCATCACCCACGGGTGTCTCCATCACCGCAGGCTGGGCTGTGTCAGGGAGGGGCTCCGCAGGGGGCACCAGACAGGAAGTGAAGCTCGGGTGGGGCCGGCAGGCGGGGTTGAGGCTGACCTTCTGCACCTGCATGGAGGCCGGCAGTGGGGAGATGGGGGCATGGGCTGCCCGGTCAGGAGGGCCCCCATGGGAGGGTCAACTGGGTAGGGATGGGGGGCACCCAGCAGGCCAGACTGAGTTGGCACACAGCCACACGGGGCTACCAGGGACTCGGGGAGGCTGGGAGAGGTGAGCCAGCCCTGGTCCTACCTGCTGGTTGTCCCCAGCCCACCAGCTATGGGGGTCGGTGGCAGGCACACAGCCGGCAGTGTCCGGGAACAGGTCCTCGTGGAACTCCACAGCCTGGCCGCAGACAAGCAGGCAGCTAGTGAGGCCCAGGCCCCCCGACTCCCCAGCCCCCGCAGTCCCTCGCCCAAGTCCCCCTCACCTTGCGGGGCACATGGTAGCCGATGGGCACGATGGCTGTGTCGCTCAGCTGTAGGACGCGGAGTACCTCGCAGCTCATGACGGCCAGCGCCTGCCGGGGCACAAGGGCAGCCCCACGCAGCACGCTCTCCAGGACACACTGGGTCACTGTTGAGGACACCATAGGGGAACAGGCAGGATGGGCAGGGGAGGGGAGGGTAGGGGATGGGGGCGAGGAAGCAAGGCTTACCTGGGCTCAGCGCCGGCTGCTGCGGGACCACCTCGTAACAGTACAGCTGCCTCTCGCCCTGAAATGAGTCTGAACTGAGCCCCGTTTGCTGACTGAACCCCTGGGGAGGGCCCAGGACTGGCATCAGCTCCCCCACAGGTCCCCAAGGACCTGAGCCACAGAACCACAGTGGCTGGAGATGGGGCTCCCCAACATGCTGGGCGCTGAGCTGAGCCCTAGGCTGACTACCTCACTTGCTCAGCCTCGTTGCACATGGGGTGAGCACCGGGGGTGTACGTCAGTATTTATGGAGTGCTGACTGTGTGCTGACACTGCTCTATTCTCGGCCTTGTTCTCAGGAAGGCCAGTGTTCTAGGAGAGCTACAGTCACCTTGGCTGCACAGGGGAAGACACAGAGGCCCTGTTCGAGTTCCTCCTCTCTCTTGGGGAAGGCCAGGGGCTGGACTCCAGGCTGTGGATGTGGGTGGGAGCCCCAGCTTCTCACTCACCTTTCCTGCCAGGACCAGGAGCCCAGAGTCAGGGTCCAGCAGAGGCACGAGACACCTGGGGAAGAGAGGGCAAGATGGCGGGTCAGGGCAGTGGGAGGGCTGCCAGACTCGTAACCCCATGTAGGAGCCCAGGACAGGCACCACAGTGACTGGGAGCCGCTTGGCCATCCAGCCATGTTCAGCCTGGTCCCCAGGAACCCCCTCCTCTTCCTGAGCTTCCCACATGCCCAACACACGCCCACACCCCAGCTGCTCCTCCCCAGGGCCTCCACCTGCACACCTGCGTCACTCCAGGACTGGAGTGGGCACAGGGGAACTCGGGCCCGATCTCAGCCACAGCTCTTCCTCCAAGAAGACCCCACATGCATTCTGTGCCCCTCCCACCTTCGACAGCCTAGACATCAGGCCAGCATTGCCAGGGAAGGTGGAGAGGTGAGGCCGGAGGCGAGGAGCCTCCCGTCCCCACTCGGCACTGCCTGTGGACAGGCAGCATCCGGGAGCAGTGCAGGCAGCCCTGCCGTTCCGAATCTGCACTAAGGTTTGGGGCCCTCTACTCAGTTACCCCACGTTTCCTGTGCCTCAGTGATATCTTGGAAGCTCAGAGACCCCCCCATGCTGAGTTAAAGTTCCTGTGTCCAAATCTGAGCCACGTGCCCGGGAGAAGGGGCTCCTCCGGCCGCTGGGCTTCCCTGCACACCCCAGGCCTGCTGCCCCGGCCGAGCCTGCCAGCAGCATGCTCCCAGGCCTTCTCTGGTCTCGAGGCAGGAGCAGGGCGGGGTGGCAGCTGGGAATAGAGTGGGCGGGCCGGAAGCCCCCAGAGCCCCTGCCACTCTATGTCCAGCTCAGCCTTGGCCAACTGCCTGTCACTGGCCGGGCTTTATGCCTCCCTCCCGGGGCCCCTCAGAGACCCCTGCACAGCCCCTCAGCCCTGTGAGAGCTGCCTTCCCACTCCAGGGCCTTTTGAGGGGAATGGGGACCTGGAAGGACTCTGACAGATGCCCAGATGCCCAGTTGCCTTCCTGTGTTTCTTGCTCCTGATCTTTGCTTTTTTTTTTTTTTTTTTTTTTAAGAGACACGGTCTCCCTCTGTCACCCAGGCTGGAGTGCAGTGGCACAATCATTGCTCACTGCAGCCTCAACCTCCTGGGCTCAAGCAATCTTCCCACTCAGCCTCCAGAGTAGCTGGGACTACAGGTGTGCACCACCATGGCTGGCTATTTTTACTTCTATTTTTGTAGAAACAAGGTCTCACTATGCTTCCGAGGCCGGTCTCAAACTCCTGGCCTCAAGTGATACTCCCACCTTAGCCTCCCAAAGTGCTAGGATTATAGGCATGAGCCACTGCACTTGGTCTTGGTTTCTTGTTTCTGGGACCTGCAGGCCTGGACCCTCCCAACCCAGACACTGACACCCTTAAACAGGACCCCGTCCCCACTGTGTTGCCAGGGTCAGAGGTCACCCAGCTGTGGCAGCTGCCTCTATCCCTCACTGCGGTGACAAAGGGCCCAGCCGCCCTCCACTGTCCACCCATCCCCTCCTGCCAGCCGACCACTAAGCAGTCCTGCCCACCTCCCCTCCCCACACTTCCAGGAGCCACAGAGTGGCTGGGAAGCTGGGTGGGGCCCTGGGTGTCTCCATGACTTCCTGGAGTGCCTTGGGCTGGTCACCTGTGAGTAACACAGGCCCCTACTTACTGAGGGCCCAGCAGGGTGAGCCGGGCTCAGCAATGCCCTTTGCATCCCGGCCTGACCACTGCTTGTAGAGGTGGAGGCGGAGGCGGAGGGTAGGGGACCAAGGTGGTGCGTGACCTGGAGTGCCCTCCACACTGACACTGGCTCCACTGGGGCTGGAAGCAAGTCCCTTCAGCAGCTTTGACAGGGCTTTCACTCATTCATTCGTTCACAATCATTCACTCCTTTGATGAGCTGGTCTGTGCCTGGTCCTCGGCTCGACCTGCATGTAGGTATGCCCAGAGATGAGTGCAACAGACCCTGCCTCTGTCCTCAAGGTGCTCACAGCCTAGCACAAGAGGCAGACAGACACAATCCCATAGACAAACATGTGAAGGGAAGGTTCACCGAGGACACACAGTGACAGAGCAGGGGGACTGGGCCTCAGCAGTGGGGGAAGGGGTGATCCCTGCGATCCCAAGGTCATGCAGAAATCAAACACCTCACAGGAAGAGAGTTTCAGAGAGAACACAACCTGTGCAAAGGTCCTGTGGCAGGTGGGTTCATGGCCTGTTTGAGGAACAAGATGGACAATGTGCCTGACAGCCTGGACAGTGTGGGTGAGGGCTGAGGCTCAGGATGGGCAGGTGGAGGCTAGACGGGAAGGGGCCTGGTGCATGTGGGGAGGGGGAGTTCTGCCTCCAGTGGACGAGCAATGAAAAGGTGACGGTGCGTTTCAAGCAAAAGAGGCTAGGCCAGGCCTAGTGACTCATGTCTGTGATCCCAGCCAGCACTTTGGGAGGCTGAGGTGGGAGAATCACTTGAGCCCAGTAGGTCAACACTGTGACCAGCCTGGGCAACATCATGAGACCATGGCTCTTCAAAAAATTAAAAATTAAAAAATTAGCGAGGTATGCTGGCTCACGCCTGTAATCCCAGCACTTTGGGAGGCCGAGGTGGGTGGATCACTGGAGGTCAGCAGTTTGAGACCAGCCAGGCCAACATGATGAAACCCTGTCTCTACTAAAAATACAAAAATTGGCCAAGTGTGGTGGTGTGCATCTGTAATCCCAGCTAATTGGGAGGCTGAGGCAGGAGAACCACTTGAACCCGGCAGGTGGAGTTTGCAGTGAGCCGAGATGGCACCAATGCATTCCAGCCTGGGTGACAGAGTGAGACTCCATCTCAAAAAATAAAATTAAAAATTAGCCTGCTGTGGTAGTGCACACCTGTGGTCCAGCTACTCGGCTGGCTGAGGCAGGAGGGTCACTTGAGCCCAGGAGTTTGAGGCTGCAGTGAGTCAAGATCGCATCGCCAGCTGGGCATGGTGGCTCACATCTGTAATCCCAGCACTTTGGGAGGCCGATCACTTTGGGTCAGGAGTTTGAGACCAGCCTGGCCAACATGGTGAAAACTCGTCTCTACTAAAAATGCAAAAATGAGCTGAGCATGGTGGCGTGCACCTGGAATCCCAGCTACTCAGGAGGCTGAGGCAGGAGAATCACTTGAACCCGGGAGGCGGAGGTTGCAGTGGGCCAAGATTGCACCACTGCATTCCAGCCTTGGCAACAGAGTGAGACTCCATCTCAAAAAAAAAAAAAAAAAAAATCACATCAGCCTGGGTAACACAGCAAGACCCTATCTCAAAAAAATAAAAATAGAAAGAGGATAGGACCAGACTGGCACAGAGTAGGGATCACACTGGCTGCTGGGGGCACAGGCTGGGAGGAGTGGAAACAGGTGCCAGGACAGAAGCTGAGGGCAAGTAGGATAGGCAGGTCTCCTGTGGCCCCTCTGCTGCCCTTATGAGAGGTGGGAAACAGGCCTGGGGCCACCTCATGGCATCAGAGGCTCACCTGTGCGCTGAGCCAACTGCCTGAGGAGGCCTGGTGCTCAGCCTCCCTCACCCCCGTTCCATCGTCCCAGCCAGCCAGCCACTGACTCAGGAGCTGAGGCCGAGTGGGCAGGAAGTCAGGGAGGGCAGGGCTGGCTCCTCTGACAGGTCAGGCCAGTCTTCCTTGCCTCAGGCAGAGCCATCTGGACAACTCTGCCAGGCAGGGGCATCCTGTCTGCCGTGGCACGGGCCAAGAAATGGGGTCATGGCACCCAGCCCCAAAGGTTGGCCAAGTGTTGGCATGGGCCTGACCCCAGGCTGTGTGAAGAGAGCCAAGCTGGGTCTGGGTCTGGAACATGGTACATGAGCCCCAGCCAGGCAGAGGGCCAGAGGTGGTAAGAGGTATTGCCGGCACCTCTCCTGCTGGAATCTGGGCCTGCCACTGGGAAGGGCTCTGACCCTGACCCAGGTCCAGGGGTCTGTCCCAGGCATAAAGTTATAGAAGGTCTAAAGCCCAGATCTGCCCCCGCCCCTCAGCCAGGTCCCAGGAGCTAGAAGACAACCTCAGTACCAACTGGGAGGCACGAGCAGTTTCAGCCTCCGGATAAGCCCCGCCAGCTCTCCCAGGACTCCTGTGATTAGCACCGAGGGGAAGCACCAAGGGTGTGCTTGCTACAAGGAGCAGCTGCAAGGCTCCTCCTCTGTCCTCCCCTCCAGCCCATCCCTCCCGCTCAGGCCCCTTCCCACCAACCCAGACATTCTGCCATTGCGCCAGTTCAAAGCAGGCTGGGTCCCTTGGATCTGTCCCTATCACCCAGGCTGGAGAGTTAGTTAGGATCCTTTGACCCCCCTCCACCCCCACAGCCCCTAGCTCCCCCGCTGTGTGCAGACTGCTGGTAACCAGGTTCTAAAGGCGGGTGGCACCTTGAAACCATACAAGGCAATGTTGGATAAACTGAGAGGGGTCTCCTAAAAGCTTCCCTTGAGCCTCTGGGTAAGTGGGGACCTGTGTAAGGCCAGGGCACAGGATTGGGGCAGGGGGTGAACACCAGGCAGATGGGGTCTCTCCGTCTACAAGAACCTGCCACAGAGGTGAGAAGCTTCAAGGACATCAGGAGGTCCTGTTCCTTGAGGAAAGCCAGGCTGGAGGCTCTTGGAGCCCTCTTTACCCCTGACCCTGGGCATCTGTGGATGCTTCTGAGGGCTTCAGAGGACACAGGGCCAAGGGAAGAGGCAGGGAAACAGTCCGACAAGAGGCTGCACAGCACTGATTGGAAACTCAGATGGTTCTGGGGCCGGGCAGGAAACTCAAGTGAGTGGACAGCTTGGCAGGAGGCAGCAGGGAGTGGTGGGGACTGGGGTGACCCATGAGCCCACATTTTGGCAGAGGGAGCAACCGCCACTCAGCCCCAGCTGAGAGTTCCTGTTCAATGCAAGCTGGGAAGCCCCATTTTAATATGAAACCACCTGATTTTTCAATGTTAGCAGTGCCTTCAAAGTTGTAAAAACTCCCATAAAGCCTGCACTAAATGCACCCAAAGGCCAGCCCCAACCCAGGAACAGAGGTCCGCAAGCCATGCCCTAATCCATGTAGACCGAGAAACGTATGGGTTGTGGAGCCCTGCCAGCCCTGGAAAGGGGCCCTGTGGGGAGAGGGCCCTGTGGACGGGAGGTCCAGAAGGTGACTGTCCCAGCCAGGCCCTGCTTAGCCCTTGACGGCTAGACACAGAGGCCATCCTGCCTTCTGGAGATAACTGAGTCCTCCAGAGACTAGGAAACCCTCCAGCTGGTGTGGCCCAGCCTCCCAGGGATAAGCCTTCAGGCCCCCCAAAGACTAGAGCTAGCCCAGCCAAGGGCCTTGGCTACAGGCCGGGCTGGAGGGGGTGTGGGTGTCCCAAGGCTCTCCGGAAGTCAGGAGCTGAGCTGGGCCCCCAAAGGCTCTGAGGCATGACTGACCACAAACGCGGAGGGGGAGGAGGGCAGAGTGTTTTCCTGGAATCCTCCAAGGCAGGGGATTTTTCTGGACTAGTCCGGCCCCTGGCACCCGCCCCTCCTGCCCAATCAAGGGCCACTGTCAACTGCAGCCCAGGCCCCACCCACCGACGGTGACCACCCCTATGCCTCCACAGCTCAGGCTTGAAGCTGCCAGTAACTGTGGGGCCGTGGGCAGACCACCACTGCCCTCCCTGACACAGCCCCTTCATCTCATAATATGGTGGGGAAGAGAGTCCAGGGCTGCTCACAACTCTTAAGGCTGTCGTGGCTAAGAGGACCCTGAGCTCAGATTTGGCATTGGAGTTTATACTTAGGAGGCTCTTGAAAGGGCTTTGTGTGGGCTGCCAGGAGTTTTTTGAAATTGGGATTAGCTACCAACAATAACACATTGAGAGATTTCACCTAAAAATCTGGATTTCCAGTTTCTCTTCAAAAATCCAAAGCTCTAGCTGGCCCGGGCTGGTCATGAGGACTCAGCCCTTACCAGCCCCACTCCCGCCATCCTGCCTCTCCAGGGCCGCAGAGGCCCTGGGGTGGACTTCTGGCATTTGTCACCTGCCTGGTGCCTCATAGGCATCTGGGCTGTGACGCTTAGGATTCCTAAATAGTCTCTCGCTTTTTACACAAAAAGCAGAAACCTGCCCAGTGTCATCCGGCAAACCCACGACGGGCAAGGTCTCCCCGCGCAGGTCAGGTGGCCGCAGGGTGAGGGCCAGGGCAACCCGGCCCACGAGCCCCTCGGTGGGGAAGGGGCGTGTCTCCACGCGGCTCCGCCCCGGCCAATGGGGAGAGGCCCCGCCCCTGCCGCGGCGGGCCCGCCCCCCGGGACTCTTAAGGCGCGACCTGCCTCCAGCGAGCCGACTCCGGAGCCCGAGCCCGGGGCGGGTGGACGCGGACTCGAACGCAGTTGCTTCGGGACCCAGGACCCCCTCGGGCCCGACCCGCCAGGAAAGACTGAGGCCGCGGCCTGCCCCGCCCGGCTCCCTGCGCCGCCGCCGCCTCCCGGTGAGTTTCTGTGGGGCTGGGGGGCTGCGGGCGGGGAAGGGGGCGCCACGGCCAGGCTGTGCACACGCGCGGGGACCGCCGCCGCGCGCACACACGCACTCTCGGGCGGGACCGCGGCCCCAGCCCCACACGGTCACCTGGGCCGCCCGGCGGGCAGGCCCTGTACGCTCCCTCCCCCGCCGTCCTGGGGCGCCGACAGCCCCGCGGCCGGCCAGGGTGCGCGCCTGAGTGTGCGGTGAGCCCGCGAGGCTGCAAGCAGACAAAATAAACACCCCGTCCCATGCTTCCTCCTCCCACGGCTGGGCCTCCGGCATGACCAGTTTTATGAATCAAACCCCTTTGAGGGGGATAGCCAAGCCACAGGCTTGGGTCACTTTTCCCTCCTGGGGTCCGGCAGTAGGTGCTGCTGTGCAGAAGGGCTGCCCGGGGTCCTCTGGACCCTTGTCACTCAAAGCACAGCTGGGGGCTACAGATATGCAGCCCTAGGGAGGGGCGGGGAGTGGCTGGTGGGCGTCCGATGCCCATCCCTCCAGGTGGGGGATGGACCTGTACTGGCCAGGGCCCTTAGAGCTTCGGGTATCAGGCAGGGTGCCGGGTCTCTGCCTCTGCCAGGGAAGGGGCTTTGCTTGGGCTGCAAACCCAGTGGCCTGGAGCCAGCCTAGTCCTTTGTGTCCCTGGGCTGGCAGTGCTGGGGCCTGAGGACTGCTGAGGTCCCCTGTGGTCACTGGCAGGCCAGCCGATTGGTGCCAACCATTCTGCCTCTCCCCCATTCGTTAACGATTGCCACACCAGGGTCACTGACCGCCTCCCCTGCTGTGGCCCAGGGGTGGAGTGTGCAGGGTGGAAGGAAGAGGTCCTGGGGGTCTAGGTGTCCCCATGCCTGCCTTTTGCACCAAGGACAGGTGAGGCTCTGGAGAGAGGCAGCGGGACCTAGAGCCCCCTTCCCCAGGCTGAGAGCCTCCAGGGCTGGGGATTGGATAAAATCTCCAAGGTCCCTTCACACTAGACTGTACTTTGGGTGTTGAGGGCATAGAGGGGTGGCCGGGCTGGGACCTTCCAAGCAGGGTCCATTAGGGCCAGTCCAGGGGGCAGCAAAGTCCAGGATGGGCCCAGCTATTGACAAAAACCCAACAGAGCTGGGGCAGGCGGGTGGGGGATGGGGAGCAGTCCCCTGAGTTTACTCTCTTCTCCCAGGGGAGTTGGCCTGGAGCTTCTGTAAACAGAGTGTCAGAGGCAGGAAGAGGCTCTGGTGATGAGCAGCCCAGCTGGATCCCCTCCAGACCATTATCTAGCCTCCCCTGGGCCTGGGGAGGGAGGATGCGCACACACATGCCAGCCTGGGGGCCGGGCACTGCCTGTCCCCACCCCGCCCCTGTCTCCTGCACGTTGGAACAGCTGTCCTGCTACCTGTGGGTCCGGAGGGTCAGATGGGGATGGGGCTGGGGGCTGGGGTCCCAGGGCATTTGTCCAGATGGCACCTCTCTCTCCATATTCTGGGAATGGGAGAATGGGATTCAGCATAAGGAGCCTCTCAGACACTGCCCAGACCTGTGCTTACCCGAGGAAGGCCCCTCTGGCACGCAGCCCAGGGGCCAGGGAGATGGCAAGGGAGATGCCCCGGGCAGGAGATGGGTCCGCGGCTCCTAGCTCCCATTACTGTCACCCCCACTGACAGCCCCGGGGGAGCTGGGACAAGTCCCAAGTACAGAAAATTAAGTCCTTGCCTGGGCTTATAAGTGGGTCCCAACACAACACTGGGCAGCCTCTGGGAACAAGAAAGCAGGGCCCTGCTGAGCCCAGGAGGGAGCTCCCACCTCAGCAGGCCAGACAGCCAGTCCTGCCAGTGAGCAGAGGTGTGTAGAGGGGAGGCTGCCCACAGGGATGGCTATCCCTGACCACTGGCCAGCCCTGAGCTCATGGGAGGGCAGCAAGGCCACCTAACTCTGTTAGTGACCTCTCCTGGACCCCCCATCAGCTGCCCTTAGAGTCCCCTCCCTGGGCTGGGGAGCCCAAGGCTCTGTGCTGCCAAGAAAACCAGCTCCCCTCACTGCTGTGGAATTTGCGTGAGTTCTTGGAGAAGGGGGAGGGTGCACGTGTGTGTGTGTGTGTGTGTCTGCAGGAGCACTGCCCAGTGGGCGTGTGTCTGGCGTGGGCGTGTCTGTGTGCGCGTGACTGGAGCAGGGCTGTGTATTTGGGGGTGGGTGGGGGTGTTTGGGGGAGCCTGCTTGCACCAGGAGGGGCAGGGCCTCAGCCTCCTTCCTTTTATCGGTTTCCACATTCCAGAGTCAGCCGGATCGCTTTCCCTCCGCGCTGGGCCGCCGGCCTCCCCCGCTTTTCCTCATTCCAGCCTCCCTGGGTGTGAGGAGGCTGGAGGAGGCTCCCTCAGGCCACCTCGGTTTTGGGCAGGGGGTGGGGGCAGGCGAGGGGCCAGTTATTCTTCAGGGTTCGGGACGGCCCCCACCAGACTCTTCGTGGGGAATGCAATAAGGTTCTGACATTCCTCAGGGGCTGCCTGAGAGATTTAATTAAGGAGGGAGGAGGGAGCCGGCCTACACCGGGAAGGGGCTGGGGCGGCCGCTGGGGCCCCTGCTGGCCCTGGGCCCCGAGCCCGGCTGGGCATTGAGAGCAGTGCGGGGGCAGGGTTGTGGTTCAGTGGCCAGGTCCTGTTCTGCCTCCCTGAATCCATCCCGCCTGCCCATTGATCAGCTCACAGACCCCAGGGGCGCCATTTCTGCCACGGGTTGGCCAAGAACCCTGGGTGATTGTGGGGGGTTCGGCATGGGGAGCTTGAGAAGGGCAAGACCCCTTCCAGGGCCACTTCCTTCTCAGACCCCCAGGCCCAGGAAGCTTAGGGCTGGCGGCCTTCCTTGGTGACTAAGGTGTTCTTCTGGCAAGTTCAGGGTTAATTGCAGGTTAGGGCCTTACTAGATGGGTGCTTGCCCCTGGGTGGGGACAGGGCAGTGAGGAGGCCCCGTGTGAGGGCCCAGCCCTGGTGGCATCACACCTGCCGCGTGCCGAAAGTGGCATCTGGACTGGCCCATTTCTAGTTGGGCTGCAGCCACTGCACAGCTCCCAGGGCCACAGGTGTCCTCCCTGACAGGTTGCACCTCTTGTGACTACGATGGCACGTCCCACCGCCCCAGGGGCTCACTTGAGCTGGGGCCTGGCCTTAGTCACTGGTCTCCCTGCCCTGGGCTAACAGGTCTGGCAGCTGCCAAGTCACCCACGGTGCTACTGAAGGCACCCACCTGGGGCCGGGCCAGCCTCCTGGGTGGAGGGAGGAGGGAAGACCCTGTGCCTGCCCCTCTCCCAGCCCTGCCAGCTGGTCCACACCTGCTCCAGGATACAGAGCCTCCTCCCTGCACAGGAAGACGAGCTGACATCCTGACTGTCCCCTTTGCAACCCTCTGTCCTGGTGTTCTGAACCCTGGCTGTGCGGAGGACTCGCTCAAGGAGCTTCTCCAAAATACAGCTCTGCCTGGGTCTCACTCCTAGACATTCTTTTTGTTTTTGAGATGGAGTATTGCTCTGTCACCCAGGCTGGAGTGCAGTGGCGCAATATTGGCTCACTGCAAGCTCCGCCTCCCAGGTTCACACCATTCTCCTGCCTCAGCCTCCCAAGTAGCTGGGACTACAGGCGCCTGCCACCAGGCCTGGCTAATTTTTTTGTATTTTTAGTAGAGACGGGGTTTCACCATGTTAGCCAGGATGGTCTCGATCTCCTGACCTCGTGATCGTCCTACCTCGGCCTCCCAAAGTACTGGGATTACAGGCGTGAGCCACCATGCCCGGCAGAATTTCTTGTTTAATTGGCCTGGGGGTGGGGCCCCAGCATGGAGGTTTTTTTTAGAAAGCTTCCTGGATGATTCTGATGTGCAGCCCGGCGGGCAAAGCCCTGGCGTCACAGGTGGGAGACGGAAGCCCAGAGAGGGGAGCTTGCTTGGATGAGGTCACAAAGCGTGTGAGTGCCTGACTGAGCTCCTGGCTGTGGCATTATCTGTGGAATGAAGAGCGCCAGCTTGGGGTGGTGGATGGAGTAAGAAAGAGGCTGACACCCATGGGGACCCCCGCTCAATCACCAGCCAGGGGTCCCCGCGCCTATAGGGAGGGTCTACCTGCCGCAGTCCCTGAGGAACTCGAGGCCCAGCCCTCTCTGCCCCTTCTGTGAGGGCCCACGACCCCTGACCTCTCTGCCCTGCCCTTGGGACTGCTGTGTCCCAAGGAAGGGGAGACGGGGCGGACCCAGCCGGGCCCTGAGCCTCCTCGGACACGTCAGCGAAACTGGAGCCAGCCGTCCTGGCCGCCGGCACAGTCCCGCCTGCCTGGAGGGGTTGGCAGACTCCCGGGGCTGGGCTGCTGCCAGGCCTGACCGGCCACACAGAGCCTTGGCGGGCCAGCATGAGGAGCGGGGGCCCGGAGTCTCAGGGTCAGACCTGCAGCGCCTGTCCTGCACCCACGCTGAAGCATACGGCACAGGAGGGGCGTACTGGCCTCAGACTGTCTATCTGTCTGTCCAAGCCTGTCCCCTACTCAGCAGGCACACCGCCTGCCCCAGAATCAGTGAGATGTTCTCGCCAGGGGCTGATGTGGTCACCAGATGCCTGGGTCCCACCCCAGCCATGCTATCCCCTGGCCCGTCCCCGCCTGACCCTGGGCGTGTGTGGTGTACCCCAGAGGTGGGTGGGCGTCCCCCTGGGAGTTGAGATGACGAGTGCCTTGTCCTCCTTACTCATAGGGCCCCTCCCTGAAGTCCTGTGCTGAAGGGGCCGCCAAGGGACAGCTCACCCACCACGTGCCCCCTTCCAGAACCAGAGATACCCCACCCCCGCTCCCCAGCCCCCAGGGTGAAGGGCAGCCTTGGTGTGGGGATGTCTGATCTGTGTAAAGCTGGCCTGAAACCCTCTCCCTTAGTAGTACCCACGCCCAGGGGGCAGGCAGAGTTCTGCGTTTATGAGTGACGCCCTCCGCAGTGAATGTTTACCGACCACTTGGCAAGTGCTCCGAGCACAGACCAAGTCACCCCAGACACAGGCACCACGAGCACCACGAGCAGCGCCCACTGCACAATGGGGGCTGAGGTAGGGGTCGTGGCCGGGCTGTGGACCCTGTCGCCCTATGCCAGTTACTGTGCCAGGGAGGGAGCAAGGCCGGCAGCAGCACTCAGCAAGGCTGAGGAACTTGGGTGGAGGACGGAGGCCCCAGACCCTTGCGTCATCTTCCCACCCCCCGACGTCCCCGAATCCCAGGAATCCCAGGGCTGCCTCCGGAACACCTCCTGCACCAGGCAGAGGAAAAGGTCTCACCTCCCTGCCTGACTAGTGATCAAATATCAAAGCCCAGGTCCTGGGATCACCGGGTGGGAGGGTGGGTGGGCGGCGGCAACCACCGTGTGACCTGTAGACAGCCCCCAGCCCCACGCACACACCAAGCACACGCCCAGACCCCAGGCGGGCGGGACAGCTCCCAGAACTTGTTAAAAGAACTTCCCCATTTGAAAACAAACAGAACAACAGAAAACTACAACTCCAGAGGGTGAGGGGGCAGGGCTGCTTGCACCAACTCCAGAGGTGAGAAACTGAGGCCCACAGTTGAGAAAGGAACTCTGGCCTCTGTCCCCTGCCACCGTCCCCTCCACAGTCAGCCTTCCCTCGCTGGGTTCCTCTCGGGGCTGGCTGATGGGTTCTCAGTGCCAGGAGTCCCTGGCGGTGCCCTCAGAGCTGCCAGCCTGTAGCTTACAAACTCTGGGGTTTTCCAAAGCTCCAGCGCTGCCTCCTCCCTCCTCCCTTTGATGTGGGGGTAGAATTGGGGCTCAGGCAAAAGAGCTCACCGCACATTTTACGGGGCTGGGAAGCAGGCTGGCTGCCGCCTGCTGGATGGTCAGCCCAGGACCCCAGCCCACAGTCCTGACCTAGACCCCTGTCCTGCTAACAGGAACGCACATTCCACAGCTCACTACCTGTCAGCCGGAAAGCCACCCTGTGGCCAGATGGACCCACAGCATCCCCTCTCCCTTCACAACCTTGCTGATTAAAGACCCAACAGATTACGGAGCCCAGAGCTATGGCTGGTCCCCCTCCCCAGTGCAGGGTGAAGAGCACCCCCCAGCACGTGCCCCTAAGAGCTGGCCTGCACACCTGGCCTTGCAGGGCTGAGGACTCCACATGCATCCCCCACTGCAGCCCTGAAGTGTCCCAGATACTCAGATGAAGAAACCGAGGTGTGAGAGCAAAGTCACTGTCTGCGGCCTCACAGCTTGGACACCTCTGAGCACAGGGCCGCCTGCCTGGAGTGAGCGCTCTTAACTGTGACCTTAAACGAGGCCCAAGGGGAGCTGCGGCCACAGTGGTGGCCAGGCTGGCCAGGCTGGCCACGTGGAGGATCCCCTCCCACTCTGGAACCTGGCTGCATCCTTCCTGACCCTGGTCTGGCCCTGCTGGGAGGGCTAATTCAGGCAGAGGTGGCCTCACCCCCCATATGGACATGGGGTGGGTGGGGGTCACTCACAGCCCACATCTGGAGGCCAGGCCGCACCCGCCGTCCTCTGAGTCAGTGAGGGTGGAGCGGGTCCCATGGGGGAAGAGAAGGCTAGGGGTGTGGCCCCAGGGCCTTAGGTCATCAGACACGAGCCCCCCTGGGGTGGGCTGGCCGGGCCAGGGACGCGTGCCTGGGGTTTGGGGTGCTAACTTCTTCCAGTGCTCAGTGCCAGGCCCTCCTGGGCTGTTCACTCAGCAGACCTGAGCTAAGTGGGCCTGGAGACACCTATGGCAAAGGCAGGCTGGGTCTCACCTTAGGGAGGTGAGGGGGCACACGACAGCAAGGGGGACACCGCTAGGTTGGGGAGGCTTAGCCTGCTGGCCTCTGAAGGGTGCTTGTTGTCGCTAACTGGCTAGGGGCTCAGGGTCGGTAGCTCCTAGGGGAGACGACTCTGGCAGTGCGATACTACACGTGGGCAGGGCCTGCGTGGGCCCAACCCCGGGGACAAGGGCTTCTTCCTTCACCTCGAGCTACCCGCAGACCCCAGTGGTCACCTCACCAGTGACTTGTCTAATCTGTCCTGGGACCACCTGCTCCTCCTCACATTCCAGGAACCCACGTACCTGGGGGAGAGGGAGCCCTATGGACGGGTCCCCCCAGCCTGGGGCGGAGTGCAGGCTGGGTCGGGGTCGTGTTCCCTGGACTACCTGCACAGCCTGTGTGGGGGAAGGGGAAGCCCGGACTCCAGCACAAAGGGCTCTTGTGTGAGCTGCAGGCGCCACTGGGCAGGATGCTTCCTGGGGATGGGCTGGCACCCCGTATGAGGCTCAGGGACTTCTAGGGGTGCCAAAGTGGGGAGGGCTCTTCCTGGGGACGGCCCCAGCGGTCTCCCCAGGAGTCTAGGTGATGGGGGCCAGCCACAGACCTGCCTGACTTGGGCAGTGCAGCTAAGATCTGGAGCCTGGAGCGGCTGGTGGGAGCCCCCGCCCCCAGGGCCATCTGGAGGGCACGCACCCTTCACAGGTGGCTGCTGCACACCTGGGCTCTAGCTCGGACTTGCTGGCACCGCAATGGCAGCGAGTCCCTGCACCTCCATGAGCCCTGCTTTCTTCTGTCTGCCCTGACGTGGCTGCTGGGGGGCTACCTGAGGTGACGGTAAACACTTAGTGTTCCTTCGTCCTTCCCACTTCGCTGGCACATGGGAAGGACTTGCACCATCACTGCCAAGGGGATGGCTGCTGCTCATCTTTCTTGGTGCCCAGCTCAGGGCAGACCCCAAGAAACAGTAGACGAAGCCGGGCACGGTGGCTCATGCCTGTAATCCCAGCACTTTTGGAGGCTGAGGCGGGCAGATCACCTGAGGTCAGGAGTTCCAGACCAACCTGACCAACATGGTGAAACCCTGTCTCTACTAAAAAAAAAAAAAAAAAAAATACAAAAATTAGCCATGCATGGTGGCTGGCACCTGTAGTCCCAGCTACATGGGAGGCTGAGGCAGGAGAATTGCTTGAACCTGGGAGGCAGAGGTTGCAGTGAGCCGAGATCTCGCCACTGCACTCCAGCTTGGGTGACAGAGCAAGACTCCGTCTCAAAAAAAAAAAAAAAAAAGTAGATGAATGACTCTGCAGAGTTTTCCCAGGCCTGGCACTGCCCCTGGGGCTGCCATGTAGCCAGTGTCCCCACCTGAGCCCTGTGGCCCCCCAGCTCCAGCTCTGTCACCAGCCTCAGCTCCCCGCCTCCCTCCCTCACAGGGGACACCTGCCAATGCCTGTGGCCTCTGCCCCTCCTCCAGGAACCTTCCCGCCGGCCACTTCCTGGCGGCCCGCAGCCCCCAGCCTAAGCAGGTCTGACTGCCCAAGTGGAAAAACATGGATCCCATAGTTTCCATGTGAAGTCTTCCCGCTGCATTCCCTCCTCCAAGGAGGGCGGGACACGGAGCGTGGCAGCAGGAGCCGGCGGCCAAGGCAGCCAGCTTCTCTGCTTACACACCCACCCAGCTGCCTGCCTGCCCCCTCTTCCAGACCCTGTAGGGAGGAGCTGCCGCTCCAAGTCCCACCATTCTCTCCTTCCTGGTCCATCTCTGAGGCAGGGGATGGGGGAACCTACCTAGGCAGAGGCAGGAGGGCCTGGGGTTCAGGAGGAAGCAGTGCATGGTCACTGCACGTTCAGTGGATGTCATGCCCCATGATGACCTCTGTGTGCATTGACAAGGTCACACAGTGAGGGAGTGACGGGGCTGGGACAGAACCTGGGTCGGGGCACTGGCGACCTGACTCATAACCATTGGGTTCTCTTGCATTTGGGGGCAGAAGCAGTGAATTCCCTCTGGCTCTTCCTGGCGTGTCTGCCTTCTAGGCCCCTGACTCACAGTCTTCTGTCTCTGCCTCCTCTCTGCTCCCAGGGACAGAAGATGTGCTCCAGGGTCCCTCTGCTGCTGCCGCTGCTCCTGCTACTGGCCCTGGGGCCTGGGGTGCAGGGCTGCCCATCCGGCTGCCAGTGCAGCCAGCCACAGACAGTCTTCTGCACTGCCCGCCAGGGGACCACGGTGCCCCGAGACGTGCCACCCGACACGGTGGGGCTGTACGTCTTTGAGAACGGCATCACCATGCTCGACGCAGGCAGCTTTGCCGGCCTGCCGGGCCTGCAGCTCCTGGACCTGTCACAGAACCAGATCGCCAGCCTGCCCAGCGGGGTCTTCCAGCCACTCGCCAACCTCAGCAACCTGGACCTGACAGCCAACAGGCTGCATGAAATCACCAATGAGACCTTCCGTGGCCTGCGGCGCCTCGAGCGCCTCTACCTGGGCAAGAACCGCATCCGCCACATCCAGCCTGGTGCCTTCGACACGCTCGACCGCCTCCTGGAGCTCAAGCTGCAGGACAACGAGCTGCGGGCACTGCCCCCGCTGCGCCTGCCCCGCCTGCTGCTGCTGGACCTCAGCCACAACAGCCTCCTGGCCCTGGAGCCCGGCATCCTGGACACTGCCAACGTGGAGGCGCTGCGGCTGGCTGGTCTGGGGCTGCAGCAGCTGGACGAGGGGCTCTTCAGCCGCTTGCGCAACCTCCACGACCTGGATGTGTCCGACAACCAGCTGGAGCGAGTGCCACCTGTGATCCGAGGCCTCCGGGGCCTGACGCGCCTGCGGCTGGCCGGCAACACCCGCATTGCCCAGCTGCGGCCCGAGGACCTGGCCGGCCTGGCTGCCCTGCAGGAGCTGGATGTGAGCAACCTAAGCCTGCAGGCCCTGCCTGGCGACCTCTCGGGCCTCTTCCCCCGCCTGCGGCTGCTGGCAGCTGCCCGCAACCCCTTCAACTGCGTGTGCCCCCTGAGCTGGTTTGGCCCCTGGGTGCGCGAGAGCCACGTCACACTGGCCAGCCCTGAGGAGACGCGCTGCCACTTCCCGCCCAAGAACGCTGGCCGGCTGCTCCTGGAGCTTGACTACGCCGACTTTGGCTGCCCAGCCACCACCACCACAGCCACAGTGCCCACCACGAGGCCCGTGGTGCGGGAGCCCACAGCCTTGTCTTCTAGCTTGGCTCCTACCTGGCTTAGCCCCACAGAGCCGGCCACTGAGGCCCCCAGCCCGCCCTCCACTGCCCCACCGACTGTAGGGCCTGTCCCCCAGCCCCAGGACTGCCCACCGTCCACCTGCCTCAATGGGGGCACATGCCACCTGGGGACACGGCACCACCTGGCGTGCTTGTGCCCCGAAGGCTTCACGGGCCTGTACTGTGAGAGCCAGATGGGGCAGGGGACACGGCCCAGCCCTACACCAGTCACGCCGAGGCCACCACGGTCCCTGACCCTGGGCATCGAGCCGGTGAGCCCCACCTCCCTGCGCGTGGGGCTGCAGCGCTACCTCCAGGGGAGCTCCGTGCAGCTCAGGAGCCTCCGTCTCACCTATCGCAACCTATCGGGCCCTGATAAGCGGCTGGTGACGCTGCGACTGCCTGCCTCGCTCGCTGAGTACACGGTCACCCAGCTGCGGCCCAACGCCACTTACTCCGTCTGTGTCATGCCTTTGGGGCCCGGGCGGGTGCCGGAGGGCGAGGAGGCCTGCGGGGAGGCCCATACACCCCCAGCCGTCCACTCCAACCACGCCCCAGTCACCCAGGCCCGCGAGGGCAACCTGCCGCTCCTCATTGCGCCCGCCCTGGCCGCGGTGCTCCTGGCCGCGCTGGCTGCGGTGGGGGCAGCCTACTGTGTGCGGCGGGGGCGGGCCATGGCAGCAGCGGCTCAGGACAAAGGGCAGGTGGGGCCAGGGGCTGGGCCCCTGGAACTGGAGGGAGTGAAGGTCCCCTTGGAGCCAGGCCCGAAGGCAACAGAGGGCGGTGGAGAGGCCCTGCCCAGCGGGTCTGAGTGTGAGGTGCCACTCATGGGCTTCCCAGGGCCTGGCCTCCAGTCACCCCTCCACGCAAAGCCCTACATCTAAGCCAGAGAGAGACAGGGCAGCTGGGGCCGGGCTCTCAGCCAGTGAGATGGCCAGCCCCCTCCTGCTGCCACACCACGTAAGTTCTCAGTCCCAACCTCGGGGATGTGTGCAGACAGGGCTGTGTGACCACAGCTGGGCCCTGTTCCCTCTGGACCTCGGTCTCCTCATCTGTGAGATGCTGTGGCCCAGCTGACGAGCCCTAACGTCCCCAGAACCGAGTGCCTATGAGGACAGTGTCCGCCCTGCCCTCCGCAACGTGCAGTCCCTGGGCACGGCGGGCCCTGCCATGTGCTGGTAACGCATGCCTGGGCCCTGCTGGGCTCTCCCACTCCAGGCGGACCCTGGGGGCCAGTGAAGGAAGCTCCCGGAAAGAGCAGAGGGAGAGCGGGTAGGCGGCTGTGTGACTCTAGTCTTGGCCCCAGGAAGCGAAGGAACAAAAGAAACTGGAAAGGAAGATGCTTTAGGAACATGTTTTGCTTTTTTAAAATATATATATATTTATAAGAGATCCTTTCCCATTTATTCTGGGAAGATGTTTTTCAAACTCAGAGACAAGGACTTTGGTTTTTGTAAGACAAACGATGATATGAAGGCCTTTTGTAAGAAAAAATAAAAGATGAAGTGTGTTTCTTGGGCTCAGCCCCAGGGTAGAAGGGCTGGGTGGAGGGAGATGAAGAAGGAGTGGCCCTCGCTCTGGGGAGCCAGGGCCCCTCAGCAGCCCCTGGGCTTGGGCAGCCCTCCCAGGTGTCCTGACCTGGGTGCCATCCACCCTAGGCTTGAATGAGGTGAGGCTGGGCCCAGGTGGGAGCAGGGCTGCCTCTGGCCTCGGACAAGAACGGGTCAGGGAGCCTCACCTTCCCCAGGCCCTGTCTTCTGCCAGCAGGGGCTCTGGCCCATGTGCGGCTGGGAGAGGCTTGTGGCACATGTGGGGCCAGGTGAGTCCCTTGTGGGTTGGTCTGATGGGCAGTTCACTGCCTGCTTTCCTCCAGGGACAGGGCCCTGGGCTCTCTCATTCCAGGCCTCATGGATGGTCCCGGGAGCAAGTGGCCTCCGGGACCTTCTCTACAGCGTCCCGGGAGAGCCAAGCGGTTTGCATGGCCCCAGCCCCATGCCACTCCACTGCCCACCATGGGCGCAGCAGGAAATCCTGCTCCCTGCCTCCTGCCCCTGGCTACAGCGAGGGCTCTGGTGGGAGGGGAAGTGTGAATCATCAAAGGCAGGGACCCCATGGGTGGGGAGAAAGGGGCCGAGCCCCAGTGAGCAGGACAAGCTGGGGGACAGGAACAAAGGGCCCAGGTTGGCTTGCAGACGGTGCCAGGATTGGTGGCCTTGGGATGCCCCCTCAGCCCCTGCATTAGGGATGTGCCCAGGCTTTCTGGAAACCCTAGAAGTGGGAGCATTTTCCAGGAAGGCTGCATGCTGAGGTGGGGGCAGTGATGCTGAGTGCAGCTGTGGCCTGGACTGGGTGCAGGGGGCTTGGGGACAGTGATGGACACACAGCACCTTTTCCTGTTACCCTCAGTGGGATGGAGGGGAGGGGACCCACTGGGCTGCCGCTGCAGGGGCACCCAGAACATGCTGGAGTGAGCCTCCTGCAGACCCCATGCCACTGTCCCACAGGTCATGGCCCCGGCCCCCAGCACTCAGGCTCACCCCTGGTGGGACAGAGTCAGCCCAGCCAGACCCAGGGAGCAGGCCCCGTGGCGCGGGTGTTGATGTCAGTGCCGAGTCAGGCCCAGCCACGCGAGGCTCTGGATTCAATTAGCGGCTGCTGAGGGCTCTGGCACGAGGAGGGAGGAGGCGGGCCGTGGGTCATGGCGGGCAGTGGGTGGTGGCAGTGGGCCTGGGTGGGGCCCCTTCTTCCTGAGGCAGCGGCGGCAGCCCAGGTGGATTTCCTGTAGGCCTGGGTCCCATTAGGGGAGTGGCTGCGGCCAGGCCTGCCTCCCCCGGCCCGTGGCTGCATCGTCAAAGGGGCCTTTGTGGGCCTGAGGCTGCTGCTGAACACGGCGGCTGCTGAAGAAATGTTTTCACTGCAAAGCAAACCTGGCCGAGTGGGATGGTGGCAGGGGGCAGTGGCGGGGGGGTGGCAGGGCCCAAAAAAAGGAAGCCTTCCCTGGAACAGTGTCTGGAGTGTGCCATCAGATCAGGGCTTCGGGGAAGGGGAGAACCCAGCCAGGGGGCGACCAAGCTGAGATGCAGCCTCGACCCGGGACAAGCCCCCCGACTCTAGGCCAGGGACCAGGGGCAGACGTGGGGGTGTGCGAGCCCCCATCACCAGGTGCTGACTGCAGCAGGCCCTGGGCCATGTGGGTGACACATGCTCTTGTTTCATGCCCGGCGACCTCGTCTATTGAAAAGGAGTGGCCACAGGGAGGGAAGACAACATGCTCACAGTAAGTGGAGACAGGACCCCAGCACCTGCTCCCCAGCCACGGGTGGGGCTGCCGGCCACGCGGGAGGGCTTAGGGCCACTGTGAGCTACAGAAGCAATACACCCTACTTCTATGGGGGTAGGGGGTGATACAGTTCACCCAGCCCCCTCACAGGCATTCACACACTCATCCCCGCTCAATTCACACCCAGAAGCGTGGCACCCAAGACAGGTGTATCTCTGCATCTCCAAGACCAAAGCATGAGCTGTTCCTTCAGTGCAGGCTGCCAGTCCCTCTCGTTATCCCCCCACCTCCACCCTGCGCCAAGCATGGTACCAAGCACACAAAGTGCTGGGCAGCCCTCCGTGGAGGCTGCCTGAGCACAGACAGGACCTTGGTGTTCGAGGCTGGCCTGGCTCCCAGCCCCTGCTCCTCTCACTGTGGCTGGCTTCCCCTTAGATACTCCACAAATGTCAGGGGAAGGGCATAGGTGGGACCACAGCGGAGGCCCCTGGGTGAGGATGAGGAGGGGACGGGGTGTGTGCACGAACCCTGGCCTCCTCTAGCTCTCATAAGGGCACACACTGTTCTGCCCAAGCCAAGATGGAAAATCTGTAAAACAGAAGAACTCGAGGGTGGTGGAGTGGATGCAGTTGCCAACCTCCCCATTAGCCGTGCCCACAGATGACACTCCAGACTTTCCATGCTCAGCCTAGATTTGCTCAGAGGCCCCGGCACCCCAGGGAGTTAGTGGGGGGCTCCAGCTTCCAGGACGCCTGGGGGTGCAGGGGACCTGCCACCTCTCAGAACAGCTGGGGGGCTGGCACACATCCTTGGCATCCACCAGCTTCATGGGGGCTGGCAGAGCAGGGGCCAGGGCTCGGGGGCAGAGGGGAGAGGACCCTAGCCTGGCCACCCATCTGGGAGTGATTTGAGAAATTCCAGTCCTCACTGGTCCTTCGAGGCTATTCTTAACTGTGGTAATTACAGGGTCAGCCTTGGCCAGTGGCACCGTGAGGTCTGGGCATCATTAACTCCTCCAGAGGCCACACTGGGGCCGGGCAGGAGACGCTTTCAGGGGATGGGGACCCTGTCACTGGGGGCAGAGCCTGGAAGGCAGGAAGTGGTGGGTGGAAGTGACTGGTGCCAGGTCCCTTCACACAAATGCCTCCACTGGGGGCCCTGCAGGGAAGGGGCTGTCTGACCTAGAAAGGTCTAGAAGACAAGATGCCAGGCAGCTCCGGGCCTGGGATGGGGGACATGGGGCCAGATCCTAGACGTGGAGTCTGAAGGCCCGGGAGCTCCGACTCCTCAAGGCGGGGCGGGTCCCACTGACTCCTCCCTGAATCTCCAATGCCCAGAGCAGGCAGGAGGCTGAGGGCAGCCCTGACTCTGCCTCTTACCCTCCATATGGCTTCAGGGAAGGTGCCGAATCTTGCTCACCTTTGCCTCCCTCATCTGTAAAATGGGCCTTGCCAGCTTCTCAGCCCCTCCCTGGGTGTGACAGGGTGGGAAAGGGCGTCACTGTCACCCTGACCCCTACCCCTCCTCTGGGCGGCTCTCAGCCCGGGGAAGCCCTTGGCAGGAGCTCTCGCTGGTACTCAGGTGGGAGCTCTTCTGGGGACTCCCCGGAAGATCCCGCAGCCTTCCTTACCCCCAGACACATACCCTTGCTGCTCCCAGAGCCTGGACAGGTCACTGTTGCCTGTGACTCAGTTTCCTCAGTTATGCAATGGAAGAATGAATAAGCTTGCCAAGTACCACCCCTTTCCTGGCTCTGACATTCTCGGATCCCCCTGCCTGTGAAGATTCCAGCAAGGCCCTTATAAGTCACGGTTGAAGTTTCAGAAGGCGGATGGAGTCCCTGTCTCTCCACCCCGGCCCTGCCTGGCTACGTCTCTGAACACCCCCCCCAGCCTCAGTCTCCCCAGCTGTGTTGTGGGTGGTCTGAACAGATGAGTCACTCATAAATGCTTGCCCTGGGCCTCCTGGTGTCTGGCTCCTGAGCCGCAGTGGGCCAAGGCCATCTCGGCACACAGCTGACTGTGCCTGGCCAGGACCCCGCCAGGCACTGCCAAAAGCCCTCTCCACACACTTCTGGGGGCAGATGGAAGGATGAGGTGCACCTGGAGCCCCCCAGGCTGCCTGGGCACCAGCCCCACCTGGGGACATACCTCAGGATAGAACAGGACAGCCATGTGGCTGGTGTGGAGTAGGCCGCATAAACCTCAGTGGGCCGCATAAGCCAAGGCCCACCTCCACCTCCACCTCCACCTCCACCCCCACCCCCACCCTGCCAGGCTGTCCAACAATGCCCACGTCCACCCTCCTATCATAGCCTGGAGCCTCCCTGGGCCTCAGCCCTGCCAGAACATCCACAGAAAAATGAAGCGTATTCTTGCACTTCTGGATCACACCCTCTCCCTGAATGCCAAGCATACCTGTGTCAACCCCCAGCCATGAAACCTCTGGTGACCAAGGGCCCACTCTGCTACCAGGGGCCAGAGGGGCACCTGAGCACCTGCTGCTCGTGACATCTGGAAGCTCCGGGGGTACAGGGCCAGGTGTCTGTTGCAAGGCCTTGCAGCCCAGATCAGGTACCCCAGAACACCCCGGAGATCAGCCCGCCTCACTGACAGGCCGGATCAGGTGCCCTCACCTGCGGCGCCTTGGGTCATCAGCCCCCCAGCCCACCTGCGTGCCGCAGCTCCTACCCAAGCGAGGTGTCCAAGGTGAGGGAGGCCAGGGCGCTGGAGAAGAACCGCGTGTCCCACAGCTTCACTTCGCGCTCACGCATCTGCAGGGAGGGCGAGAGAGGGGCTCAGAGGGGCCTGTCCCTCAGCCCCACCCGGGGGGCTCCCAGGGAAACCAGCGCCTGAGGGTGCAGCCTGACACGGGGCACCTGCCCCAGAGCAGGGCTTGGAGTGGGGGTGGGAGTCACCCCAGGGAAAGAGAATCTGGGTTTTCATGTTCTGCCCCTTTAAGAACCCTTAGGTGACAAAGGATGAGGGGCGGTTCCCTCTGTGTTCTCGGGTCCCTGTAGGGCCACTATGGCTCCTGGGGTCAGGCTGAGCTATTACAAATGGAATCTGCCAGTTTTCAGCAGCCGTCAGTCCCCTGAGGCTCTGAGACCCGGCAGCACAGCCAGGCCGTATATGGACAGGCCTGGAACTGGCCCTCAGTCCCCCGCCTCCCATTGGTTTCGTCCCCGCCCAAAGGGCTGGACATGTCCCCACCTGGCCGTGCCCTGCTCCTCCAGGAGGAACCCCCTACCTGGTTGAATCCAGTAGACACAAGGTGCTCCCAGGTGCCCATCCATGCCAGCCGGCTATCCCTGCTGTTCTCATGGGCCTGCGTGCTCTGCAGGAGGCAAGAGGTGGACCTGAGCCCCCAGGGCCCTGCTGGTGGGCGGGGCCCCCTGGAATGGGCCTGAGCTGGGGAACTTCTGCTGCCCACCTGCCTGAAAGCCTCACAGAGGGTGGGAAGGGCTGGGTCCTTCTCCACGTCCCCACTGGGACCAAGGGTGGTCTCCGAAGCACCCCGGGGATCAGCCCCGCCTCCGCCCCAGTTGAGGGCAGCTCTGCACCCAGAGGCCAACCTGGCTGCTCCTCCCGAGTGTCCCTCCTACCAAGGAGAGGGCTGCCTCACTCCCCAGCTCCAGGCCCCTTCCCTGCTGCGCCAGGGGCTAAAGGCACTGGCACTTTCTTGCCCCTAAGAGCTGTGTGATCCTGGGGATGTCACACTCTGTCAATGCCTCATTTCTCTCGCTTGTGTAAGGGGCTCACGATGCGGTGCCACCCGCTTCCCAGGGCTGTCACCATGTGGAAGGGCAGGGCTTGTGGCAAAGCACCGTGTAAACTGGGGGATTTCGAGGATCACTGTGGCTGCCCCAGGCAAGAGGCAGGGCCTGGGACCCACCTCTGGGCAACGTCCAGAGAGCGCCAAGTAGTGCCTCTCCTGGCCCTCCCGAGGTGCTGGAGCTGCCAGCAGGAAGGCTCCCGGCCCCTGGGAGGAGAGGGAAGCTCACATGGTGGGTGGGGCCCTGTCCTCCTGGGCCCTGGCAGTGGGGAGCTGAGGGGGCCAGAGGAAATGCAAACAGCTCCTCCCAGTCACCCTGGCCCCTGGAGCCTGAGACGAAGGACCCTGTTACCAAAAATAGCTCACCCCAAACCATGGCCAGCTTCCTCCGAACTTCCCACGATCTCCTTGGGAATGAATGAGGGAGGGAAGCAGCCTGCGAGGAGCTGGCCTGGGGCCCCCTCCCCAGCCCGTGGAGGCTGACTCCAGCGTGGGAGACCATCGGAAACGGCTCCAGGTCCCGTCCTTCGAGGGGCTTTTCTCACTGTTCCCTTCCCACCAGGCTGTGGCCGGCACAGGAAGTTGGGGCTGGAGCCTGAGAACCAAGGCCCCACTGCCCTCTCTCCACGTAAGAGGGGATATCGGGTCAGGACAAGGGTCGAGCCATTGGCCAGCCCTGCCCTCAACACCCGGAGAGGGTCACAGTGTCATTCAGGCTCCTGCCCTCTCGTTGGTGTTTGTTGTGCAAATATCTGCGTGTGTGCAGCCCACCAGGTGGCTCTTAGCTTGTCCAAAAGTCACTCATTCATTCAAGAAACACACAAGGCCTCCCAGGGGCCAGAACTGTGCTAGGAGCTGGCAGTGGGGCCGGATGGTTCTCAGATAGAGGGCAGGTGCTGGGGGGAAGCAGTGCCCCTCACTCATCTGTTCTCTCGTCATATGGGTATTTGAGCCACACACTATTCGAGATGACATGGTGAATAAAATGGGGAAAGTCCCTGTGCCCGTGGAATAAACACATCGGGGAGGTAGATGTAGGCCAAAGAGAAATCAGTGTGTCATTCCCTGTGACTATGCATGCCATGGGGGAGCCGCACGGTGTTAGGGGAGGAAGCTCTGGAGGTGGACCCAGGAGAGCCCCAGCCTGGCCACCTCCCTTGGTGGGTCAGTCACTAGCTCTGTGCCTCAGTTTCCATGTCTGTAAAAAGCACTGTAACAGAATTTACTTTTTTTTTTTAACCTTTCCTATGGTGCTGAAGGACCTACTTTTGAAGACGGCCACAAGGAGTAAGAGGGAACACTTGTAGAAGGCTCAGGATTGTGTCTGACACGTGTCAAGTGTGCATGTCTCACAGCTGATAGCAGGGTACCGCCAGACTGTAAGTGAGGGAAGACCTAGCGTCATTCCTGCTAGGCTGGGAGGGTTGATAGGCGTGAGCCAGGTATGGGAACTGGCATCTGCAAAGAGTTGGAAACTGGAAGCAGAGAGACCCGCTCAGCCAGCAGGTGGGGACGAGGGAGGCGGAGGCTGGGCCAAGCCTGCAGGGTCCCCCAGGGGCTGCCACTGAGCACTTTTCACCTAGGGGCACAGGCTAAGGCTAGGGGTGGGACGCCCTTGGCCTGTAGCTCCCACCTTCCTAATTCACATGTGGGAAGCCTAAAGGCACAGAGAGACGAAGCCATGGTGCAAAGTGGCTTGGCCCCAGCTGTCTCCTCCACCTGCACAAGATGGACGTGAGGCTCAGAGTGGTGATGAGGCTTGCACAAAGTCGCAGCTAGGAGGCAGCAGGGAAGGGAGGAGGAGCCGCCCAGGACCACAGCTGCCCCAGAAACGCTCTGCTTCCAGCAAACATCCTGGGCCAGCTCTTGCTCCCTGGAGCATTCAGCCCAGCCTTCAGAGGTCCAGGTAAGAGCTTTGTCCGTGCCCAGCCACTCCCCAATGTGGGTACACCCAGCTCAGTTTGCCCAGAGACCACAGGAAGCCCCCAGGTGAGGGAGGGGGTCAGTGGCCCACCCCTTACCCTGTAACTCCTCATCAATGGAGTGATCACCAGTATCAAAAATGAGAGGTGGGCTGGGCGCAATGGTACCTGCCGTAATCCCAACACTTTGGGAGGCTGTGGTGGGAGGACGGCTTGAGCCCAGGAGTTCCAGAGCAGCCTGGGCCACAAACTGAAAACTTCTCTCTTAAAAAAACAAACACTAGGCCGGCACAGTGGCTCACACCTGTAATCTTGGCATTTTGGGAGGCCGAGGCGGGTGGATCACCTGAGGTCAGGAGTTCAAGACCAGCCTGGCCAACATGGTGAAACCCCATCTCTACCAAAAATACAAAAATTAGCTGGGCATGGTGGCAGGCGCCTGTAATCCCAGCTACTCGGGAGGCTGAGGCGGGAGAATCGCTTGAACCTGGGAGGTGGAGCTCGCAGTGAGCCGAGACTGTGCCCCTGTGCTCCAGCCTGGGTGACAGAGCAAGACTCTATCTCAAAAAACAAACAAACAAACAACCCAACTAGCTTGACGTGGTGGTGCGTGCCTGTAGTCCCAGCTACCAGGGAGGCTGACGCAGGAGGATTGCTTGAGCCCAGGAGGTCAAAGCTACAGTGAGCCGTGTTGGCGCCACTGCACTCCCGCCTGGGCGACAGAGCGAGACCCGTTTGCCAGCCTCAGCAAGCCTCAGAGAAGAGCCGTCTCCCCAGCTCCTCATTCTCCTGCATAGGGGGCAAGAACAGGGGCTGCAGCTGGGACCCAGGCATCCTGCTACCCTGCAGCCCCAAGAGGGCCCCCACCACCTAGCTCTGAGAATAGGAGGGGCTGTGGCAGGGCAGGAGCAGTGTCAGCCCCGCAGGGGGTGCAGGAGGGGAGGCGCGTGCCCGCCCCTTCATCACCATGGCGACACTTCCTGTGCAGGGCAGGATGGTTCCAGGAGCAGCCCTGGCTCCTTGCTGGGGTGAGGGGACCTGCTTCAATAGTAAGACCCCCCACTTACCCCCTTCCCTCCTCTGAGGTTCACCACCCCCCACTGGCCTGTCTGATGCACTGAGATTCCTAGAGGGCTCAATCCGGGGCCCCCTCCCGCCCAGACAAGGGTTCTGAGGCCTCGACACTCATTTGGGGCTGCCACTTTCCCAGAACAGCCTGGGCTCCAGGGCCTCACCCAGCCCCAGCTGGGCCGGTTGTAAAGGGAAGGGGCGGCAGTGGGGGTCCTGGGGGTTCTGCATCCAGAGGGGCGAGCCTGCCTCTGTCACCCTGAGGTGGGACCATGGAGAAGCCACAGAACCATCCGACTCTCGGGGTCTGCACCTCCGAGGAAGTGGAATATGCCAAGTGCCTGGCGCATAACAAAGGGTCATACATGCAGTATAAGAACCAAGCATGGGTGTGAGGAGGAGCCTCCCCAGGGTCCCCTGCTCAAAGCTCACGCCTGAGGCAGGGCTCCAACAAGACAGTGGAGGGCGGACTCCCTGGCCCACTCTGGGCTCCGGGATAGCACCAGGGCTCAGGTGGGGTGGGACCCACAGAGGACAGAGGTTGGATGGAGGGCAGGCGGCCCCGCTCCCTGACCCCCAGCCACACCCCACTAGGCAGGAAGGAGGATTGCCAGAGAAGGAGCTCCCAGAAGGCCTCTCCCTCGAGCCGGCCCCTCGGCTCACACCGGCCCTGGCTGCCAGCAGCGGTTTTCCTAATAGAAGCCAGGTGTGGGCCAGATGCCCTGGGCGGAAGTGGGGGGCAGGGCCACACGGAGAGCGGCATTCCAGGCCTGCTGCCCCCGCACCAGGGCCCGAGCACAGGCCCCAGCCAGCAGCTGGAAGGGGTGGGAGCCACCCACGCTCTTCCCAGGTCTCCTCGCCCCAAAGCCCCGCAGGGGGGCTCCCTCCAGAACCAGATCCTCTCCCTCTCTCTTCGAGGAGCTGGGAGCCCCTTGGATAGCAGCCACTCTATCCCCACCTCGGCATCAGTCACCGCCCCAGCCCTGCTGGAAGAGGAGGGGAGAGGAGGAGGAAGGCTGGAAAGAGGGGGCGGAGGAGGGGAGAATAGGAAGAATCACGTGGGCCCAGTGAGCTGGCTCAGAGCCATGCCCGGTAGGTCGGGGGCAGAAGCATAGGTGCCCCAGCAGTGCCCTGGGCTCTGGAGAGGAGAGTGCAACCTGAGAAAGTGAAGGGGGCCGGGGGAAGCCTCTGTGGCACCTTCAAGCTGAGCCTGGGCCCCGCTTTCTGGGCAAAGGCTTGGAGGTCAAAGAAAGCTACCTAGTGAGGATACCGTACACACCCACACTGCCTTGAGATGCAGACAGCCACCATCTACCAGGCCCAGGTCCCACATGACGAAGAGGTCAGCCAGCCTCACCAGCAAGTACGACCAGGGTGTGGCCAAAACCACCCTGCCTGGCTAGTTTCACTGCTTAAATGGGAGTCCTCTCGGTCTTCAGCTGGACAAAAGTGGAACTGACTGTACCGTTTGGACTAAAAAGCTGCAATCTTCCATGTGACTGGGTTTCTCTCCTGAGTCTTGTGTGTGTAGGGGGCTCTGGGGCTCCGGGCTACCACTAGTTTGGTTTGGGCTGGTGGTTTGCCCTTGACCCCGGGTGGGGAAAACGTCCTAGAAATGGGGAGGGGGTATCTATGATGGGCCTAGGTCTTTGCTGGGGAGCTCCTCTCCTGAGCTAACAGTAGGACCCTAAACTTCACCTTCCTCAGGGAATAAGCCTCCTCAGCTTCTAGAAAGTTCTTTTTAGAAATGTAAATCCATGGCCAGGAGCGGTAGCTCACGTCTGTAATCCCAGCACTTTGGCAGGCCGAGGAGGGTGGATCACAAGGTCAGGAGTTCGAGACCAGCCTGACCAACATGGTGAAACCCCGTCTCCACTAAAAATACAAAAAAATTAGCCGGGCATGGTGGCGGGCACCTGTAGTTCCAGCTACACAGGAGGCTGAGGCAGTAAAATCACTTGAGCCTAGGAGGCGGAGTTTCCAGCGAGCCGAGATTGCGCCACTGCCCTCCAGCCTGGGTGAAAGAGCAAGACTCCATCTCCCCACCCAAAAAAAGAAATGTAAATCTACTCATCGCACTTCCTGCTTAAAACTCCCTAATGGTGGCCGGACACGGTGGCTCAGGCCTGTAATCCCAGCACTTTAGGAGGCCAAGGCGGGAGGATCACGAGGTCAGGAGATCGAGACCATCCTGGCTAACATGGTGAAACCCAGTCTCTACTAAAAATACAAAAACAAAAATAGCCGGGCGTGGTGGCGGTCGCCTGTAGTCCCAGCTACTCGGGAGGCTGAGGTGAGAGAATGGTGTGAACCCAGGAGGCGGAACTTGCAGTGAGCCGAGATCACAACGCTACACTCCAGCCTGGGCGACAGAGCGAGACTCCGTCTCAAAAAAAAAAAAAAAAAAACTCTCTAATGGCTTCCCACAGCCCAGGTAACCATGGGCCCGTATCCCCCAGCGCCCCTCGCGCAGACCCCTCAGACAAGCCCGTCCTCCTTCAGGCCATCTATGTCTGCCCCCTTGGCATTACTCAGGCCTCTGCTCCCGGGCCAGTTACTCAGGGAAGCACTAAACCAGCCCAGCAAGAGAAGCCCCCAGCAACTACCTGCCTAGCACAGGCAATGTTTACGGAGCCAGACACAGGGCCCTGTCCCAGGGTTGTTGCTCCTGCCTACAAGGTCTCTGTAGGGCAAATGAACGGTGTCCCAGTGGCTGGATGCCTGCAGCATGAGCCAGGTCCCAGCTTCCCCGCTTGGAACTGAAATGGCCACGCACACTCCATGCACAGACACAAACCAGAACACGCTCAGTCCCTGGACCCTGTACGTTTTGACAGGTCCCACCCAGGGTCTTCCTGCAGAGGACAGGGGTTGTTTCTTTTTGGCTCCTCTGCAGCTGGTCTCTGCTGACCGTGCCAGGGTGAAGGTCTCAAAGGAAGGAAGTGGGAATCCCAGATCGCTGCCTGAAGCCACACGATGGCCTCCGTGGAGAGCCTGGGGGAAGCTTAGCTTCTGCCACCCGGTGATCAAAGCCAGGCCCTCCCAGGACCCACAACACACTTCACAGGAAGAGCTCCCAGCAGTGGTGGTCCACCTCCTGGGGACCCCTGGTGCTGCAGAACATGTCTGCCAGGACCCCAGGCCTGCCCCTACCTCCACCTGCTAGAACCACTGGGTCCTCAGCCTCAGTGGAGGCTTCAACCCACCCCAGCTTGCCCACACAACTCACCTGAGAGGCCCGCGGCTTTGTTCTGGGGTCAAAGATCCGCAGCTGCTTGTCCTGGAAAAGCAGAGAGGAGGAAACAACTTGCGATTAGGGCTGGAGGGTCCCTGGAAGCCAGCCTGCTCCCCTCACCTCCCAACCCCCAGCTCTGAGCAGCCCATCCCCAGCACGCAGGGCTGCCATCACACACCAGGGCATCCCTCCTCAGCCCTGTTCCTCCTCCTCAGCACAGCAGCAACCACCACCCAGTCCCCCAGGTTTCTGTGAGGAGTGTTCAGCTGCCTGAGACCTACTCAGTGAGGAGTGTTCAGCTTCCTGAGACCTGCTCCACGTCAGGCATCCCAGACACTCGACCCCTCCTACTCTTCCAACTACCCTATGAAGTGGTACTATCACCATGATCCCTCACAGACAGACAAACGGAGGTCCAGAACCAAACTCTAGGCTGTCAGCGCCCCACACATGCTCAGCCCTGTACTAGGCCCAGCCTGGAGAGGCTCATATGACGACCTCATTTCTGCACTTACAGAATTTAGCACTAACCAGGAAGACGAGCTTACACTTCCGAACCATCCATTCGGCAGTTATTGATTCAGATTATCCAAAGGGAGGATGGAAACAGACAAAAAGCAGAAAAAAATGTACTGAAATAAAGCACTCATGCTTTGTATAGACCTTCTTTCTGTGGAACAATGTGTGTGTGCATGCACACGTTGTGTGTGTGTGTGTACACAAACATTCATGCATAAAGAACCAGGGCACAATCTGTATCCACTACTACAGGCTGGGCCATAATAATTTTTTTTTTCTTTTTTGAGACAGAGTTTTGCTCTGTCACCCATGCTGGAGTGCAATGGTGCAATCTTGGCTCACTGCAACCTCTGCCTCCCTGGTTCAAGCGATTCTCCTGCCTTAGCCTCCCGAGTAGCTGGGATTACAGGCGCCCACCACCACATCTGGCTAATTTTTGTATTTTTGGTAGAGACGGGGTTTCACCATGTTGGCAGGCCGGTCTCAAACTCCTGACCTCAGGTGATCCGCCCGCCTCGGCCTCCCAAAATGCTGGGATTACAGGCGTAAGCCACCATGTTTGGCCATAATAAATTAAGTGCAAAAAGGAAGTTGTAGAATAACATGGCATAGTGTGATTCTACTGTGGTAAAAATCAACAAAAATCTCCATTTGTGTGACCACGATCCTGTTTGTTTTTATTGATACCCAACTATCATACAGCCCATACATTTTACAAGTTTGCTGAGCAAGGAGAAAGGTCTGGACTAACACAGGCCTGTGTGCTAATGCTAGGTATCAAGGGTGGGGAAGATGGGGGCTGGTTAACTTTTCCTTTTTACGTCTTAGCACAGGTCTATTTTGTTTCATTCAGCACAGATTCCTGTTTTCATATTTTGAAAAACAGTAAACAACTGGAATTTGAAATGAAAAACACCACCAGCCAGGCATGGTGGCTCACGCCTGTAATCCCAGCACTTTGCGAGGCTGAGGTGGGTGGATCACCTGAGGTCAGGAGTTTGAGACTAGTCTGGTCAACATGGTGAAACCCCGTTTCTACTGAAAATAAAAAAATTAGCCGGGCATGGTGGCAGGCACCTGTAATCCCAGCTACTCAGGGGGCGGAGGCAGGAGAATCGTTTGAACCTGGGAGACAGTGGTTGCAGTGAGCTGAGATTGCACCACTGCACTCCAGCCTGGGCAACAGAGTGAGACTCAATCTCAAAAAAAAAAAAAAAGAAAGAAAGAAAGAAAAACAACATCATTTGCACCAGTACAGATAAAAAAAACTTGAAATACTCATGCTCCTCAACATACAATGGAGTTACATCCCAATAAACCCGTCTTAAATTGAAAATATAGTAAGTATGGCCAGGAGAGGTGGTTCATGCTGGTAATCCCAGCACTCAGGGAGGCTGAAGCGGCAGATCACTTGAGGTCAGGAGTTCGAGACCAGTCTGGCCAATAAGGTGAAACCTCGTCTCTACCAAAAATACAAAAATTAACCGGGCATGGTGGCACGCACCTGTAATCCCAGCTACTCGGGAGGCTGAGTCAGGAGAATCACTTGAACCTGGGAGACGGAGGTTGCAATGAGCTTGCAGTGAACCGAGATCGTGCCACTACACTCCAGCCTGGGAAACAGACTGAGACTCCGTCTAAAAAAAAAACAAAAAAGCTGCCGTAGGCCAGGCACAGTGGGTCCTGCCTGTAATCCCAACACTTTGGGAGGCCAAAGTGGAAGAATCACTTGAGCCCCGGAATTTGAGACCAGCCTGAGCAATACGGCAAAGTCCATCAATGGACATTTCTCTCTTTTTGTATTTGTTTTTGTTTTTGAGATGGAGTTTCATTCTTGTCACCCAGGCTGGAGTGCAGTGGCGCGATCTCGGCTCACTGCAACCTCTGCCTCCCGGGTTCAAGCGATTCTCCTGCCTCAGCCTCCCGAGTAGCTGGGATTACAGGTGCACGCCACCACGCCAGGCTAATTTTTTGTATTTTTACTAGAGTCGGGGTTTTGCCATGTTGGACAGGCTGGTGTCGAATTCCTGACCTCAGGTAATCTGCCTGCCTTGGCCTCCCAAAGTGCTGGGATTACAGGTGTGAGTCACTGTGCCTAGCCTTTTTTGTTTGTTTGTTTTTGAGACAGAGTCTCGCTCTGTTGCCCAGGCCCAAGCGCAGCAGTGCAATCACAGCTCACTGCAAATCAACCTCCTGGACTAAAGCAATCCTCCCACCTCAGCTTCCCAAGTATGTGGGACCACAGGCACAAGCCACCAGGCCCTGCTAATGTTTTAATATTTCTTTCGTAGAGATGAGGTCTCACTATCTTGAGCAGGCTGGTTTTGAACTCCTGGCCTCGAGTAATCCTTCTGCCTCAGCCTCCCAAAGTGCTGGGATTACAGGTGTGAGCCACCAGGCCTGGTTTGAATATACATTTTAAAAATATATATATAGAAATGGCCAAAAAGCGTATGAAAATATGTTCAATATCACTAACCATTAGAGAAACACAAATCCAAACCACAGTAAGATATCCCCTGACACCCATTAGGATGCCTATTACATTTTTAAAAATAGCAAGTATCAGGCCGGGCGCGGTGGCTCACGCCTGTAATCCCAGCACTTTGCGAAGCCAAGGCTGGGGGGAATCACTTGCGGTAAGGAGCTCGAGACGAGCCTGGCCAACATGGTGAAACCCCGTCTCTACTAAAAATACAAAAATTAGCCGGGCGTGGTGGCGTGCACCTGTAATACCAGCTACTCGGGAGGCTGAGGAAGGAGAATTGCTTGAACTCAGGAGGTGGAGGTTGCAGTGAACCGAGATCATGCCATTGCACTCCAGCCTGGGCAACAGAGCAAGACTCCATCTGAAAAAAAAAAAAAAAATTGCAAGGCTGGGCGTGGTGGCTCACACCTGTAATCCCAGCACTTGGGGAGGCCAAGGCGGGCGGATCACAAGGTCAGGAGTTCAAGACCAGTGTGGCCAACATAGTGAAACTCCGTCTCTACTAAAAATACAAAAATTAGCTGGGTTTGGTGGTGTGAGACTGTGTTCCCAGCTACTGGGGAGGCTGAGGCAGGAGAATCGCATGAACCCAGGAGGCGGGGGTTGCAGTGAGCTGAGATGGCACCATTGCACTCCAGCCCAGGTGACAGTGCGAGACTCCGTCTCAAAAAAAAAAAAAAAACAAAACCAACTGTTGGTGGGTACGTGAAGTTAGAACCCTTGCACACTGTTGATGGGATTGTAAAATGGTGCAACTGCTATGGAAAACAGTATGGCAGTTCCTCAAAAAATTAAAAATAGACCTAGCATGTCTTCCAGCAACCCCACTTCTGGGTACATATCCAAAAGAACTGAAAGCAGGCCATGAAGAGATATTTGCACACCCATGTTCATAGCAGCACTACTCGCAATAGCCAAGAAGTGGAAACAACCCAAGATCTACTGATGGATAAATGGATAAACAAAATGTGGTCTGCGCATACTATGCAGTCTTCAAAGGCAAGGAAATCCTACTGCACGCCACGAGTAACCCTTGACGATGCAGCATTTCATTATGCTCAGAGAAATAAGTCAGCCCCAAAAGAGCAAATAGTATATGATTCCACTTATGTGGGGCATCTAAAGTAGTCAAATTATAGACACAGAAAATTATAGACACAGAAAGTGGAATGCCAATTCCTAGGGGCCGGGAGGTAGGGCAAAGGGGAACTGCTGTTTAATGGGTATAGAGTTTCAGTTCTGCAAGATGAGAAAATTCTCAAATCTGTTTCACAACAGTGTAAATATACTTAACACTACTGAACTGTACACTTAAAAATGGTTAAGATGGTGAATTTTGGCACTTTGGGAGGTCAAGGCGGGAGGATCATTTGAGCCCAGGAGTTTGAGACCAGCCTAGGCAACACAGTGAGATCCCTGTCGCTACAGAAAATTTAAAAAGTAGCTGGGCGTGGTGGCACGTGCTAGTAGTCCCAGCTACTCAGGAGTCTGAGGTGGGAGGACTGCTTGAGCCTTAGAGTTTGAGGCTGCAGCAAGCTAAAAAAAAAAGAAGAAGGTAAATTTTATGATATGTGTTTTCTTACCACAATTTAAAAAAATAGCTATTAGCCCACAAAAATACATTGCTAAGTTAAAGAAGCCAATCTGAAAAGCTACATACTACATACCATATAATTCCAACTATATGACATTCTGGAAAAGTCCAACATACAGACAATGAAAAGATCAGTGCTTGGCAGTGATCTGGGAGGAGGGCGGAAGGGATGAACAGGTGGAACCCAGGGGATGTTAAGAGCAGTGAAACTACTCCGTATAGTGGTTACATTATGTCATGCATTTATCACAACCCATAGAACATACAACACAGACTGACCCCTCATGTAAACTGTGAGCTTTAGTTAATAATAATGTATCAGGCTGGGTATGGTGGCTCAGGCCTATAATCCCAGCACTTCGGGAGGCTGAGGTGGGTGGATCACTTGAGGTCAGAAGTTTGAGACCAGCCTGGTCAACAAGGTGAAACCCCATCTCTAAAAATACAAAAAAATTAGGCCAGGCATGGTGGCTCACACCTGTAATCCCAGCACTTTGGGAGGCCGAGGTGGGTGGATCACCTGATGTCAGGAGTTCGAGATCAGCCTGACCAACATGGAGAAACCCCGTCTCTACTAAAAATACAAAATTAGCTGGGTGTGGTGGCACATGCCTGTAATCCCAGCTACTCGGGACGGGGAGGCAGGAGAATCACTTGAATCTGGGAGGCAGAGGTTGCGGTGAGCTGAGATCGTGCCATTGCGCTCCAGCCTGGGCAACAAGAGTGAGACTCTGTCTCAAAAACAAAAACAAAAACAAAAACAAAAAAACAAAAAGTAGCCGGGTGTGGTGGCACGTGCCTGTAGTCCTAACTACACAGGAGGCTGAGGCATGAGAATCACTTGAACCCAGAAGGCGGAGATTGCAGTGAGCTGAGATCGTGCCAATGCACTCCAGCAGTGCAATAATAATAATAATAATAATAATAATAATAATAATGTTTACCATTGGTTCCTCAATTGAAACAACGTACCACACTCACGCAGGATATTCATCACAGACACTGGGGGAGGAGGTAAGGAATATGGAAAATCCTTATACAACTTGCTCACTTTTTCTGTAAACTTAAAACTGTTCTCGAAAATAGTCCATCAACTAAAACAACCCAAAAAGAAATGCAGGGGAAAACCAAGTGAATTCCCGCTCCATGTGCAGCCCCTCCCTGAGAGATGAGTAGCCTCCCTGCTACTACCAAGTTCCAGGCTAAGTGCTGGACTCTGGGGCCTGGAGGTTGTCACGGGAAACCGCGGGGAAGAACTTAGACCTGGTCATGGAAGGACAAACAGAGCTTGTGCTGGGAAGGCAAAGGCATTCGAGGAAGGTAAAATAGCATGAGCAAAGAGGTGGAGAAAGGAACTTGCTGGTGTGTGGCGTTGGGGGAGGAGAGGCCACGTGAGGAGGCAGATGGTGGGAACCAAGGGGGCCGTGGGCACACGCATGGCTGGCAGAGGCGGGGGCCTGTCTGGAGAGGGCCTCAAAAGCCAGGTCTCCCTGGTCTGCCTCAGCAGGGCCCTGGTTTTATGCCGCTCCTGGCAAAGCCCTGCCAGCTGCAGTTTACCAAGCACCTGCTGCGTGCCAGGCGGGCACCAGGTACAGTCCAGGGACTGGCTCTTAAAACTCCACTACTCCACACCTCGGATTCAGAGGGATGGCGAGGGACAGAGAGAGGAGGATGAGAGACAGAAGACAGAGACCAGAGAGAGAACAGCGAGGGACAGCAAGGGATGAGAGAGGACAGAGTGGGACAGAAACAGAGCACAATGACAGAGCGGGCCAGAGAGAGCAAGTAGAGATCAAGGACAGATACAGGGGACAGCAGGAGACAGGCAGGACACGAGCGACAGCAAGCGACAGAGGCTCTCAGGAGATGAAGGGCAGGACACGACATCCAGCAGTCAGGGCTGCTCCTGCCCCACAGAGGTGCAGAGACCGACAGCCCGAGTCCAGATGCCAACACCACCACTGACCAGCTATGACGTGGGCAAGCCCCCGAGCCCCCTATGGTTTCTTTTTTTCCTTTTTTTTTTTTTTTGAGGTTTTAGTTTGTTTGTTTGTTTGTTTTGAGACAGAGTCTTGCTCTGTCGCCCAGGCTGGAGTGCAATGGTGTGATCTCGGCTCACCGCAACCTCCACCTCCCAGGTTCAAGTTATTCTCTTGCCACAGCCTCCCAAGTAGCTGGGATTACAGGTGCATGCCAACATGCCTGGCTAATTTTTGTATTTTTAGTAGAGGAGGGGTTTCACTATGTTGGCCAGGCTGGTCTTGAGCTCCTTACCTCAGGTGATCCGCCTGCTTGGCCTCCCAAAGTGCTGGGATTACAGGCGTGAGCCACTGCACCCGGCCAGTTTTGTTGTTGTTGTTGTTGTTGTTGTTTTTTAAGAGAGAGGGTCTTGCTCCATCGCCCAGGCTGGAGTGAAGTGGCTCAATCCGAGCTCACTTCAGCCTCGAACTCCTGGGCTCAAGCAATCTTCCTGCCTCAGCCTGGGACCACAGGCGCGTGCCACCATGCCTGTCTAATGTTTGCATTTTTTTTGTAGACATGGGGTTTCACCATGTTGCCCGGGCTGATCTTGAACTCCTGGGCTCAAGTGATCCTCCCACCTCGTCCTCCCAAAGTGCTGGGATGACAGGCGTGAGCCAGCGACCGGCCACCCGCCCAGCCCTGTGAACTGTGAGGATGCGGACAGCGCCACCCCTGGGCAGGGCTGGGCGCTGGGGCTAAGGGCGGAACTCACAGCACACACTCCATGAGGGCAGCTGGGCCACCCTCATGGAGGAGCTTAACGCGGGGTCCAAACCAGGGTTCAGAGTGGGCACTGAGGCTGCTCTGGCTCAGCGGAGAGGAACTGGGCTGCAGAGGCCGCGTCCTCCCCGGCTCATCAGGCTCAACCATGCCGGGAGTCAGGAGCGCAGCAGGCCGGAATGGGCCATCCGTGAGGAGAGCGCGCCCCCTAGCGGCCTCCTGCCCCTTCTCTCCCAGCTCGGGAGGCCCCTTCACCCAGTGGGAGTAGCTGAGAGGGAGCAGGAGGGGGCTTTGGTGGTCCTGGGAGGCAGACCTGCTCACACAGAGGCAGGACAGGAGTGGAAGCCAGGGGCACGGAGGCTTCCCCGCCAGGAAGGAGATGGGGCGGGGGTGGGGGCACACTCTGGTGGAAAGTCCCATGACCCCCCACCCCCATCCCCATCAGGCAGCCCGTGGCATGAGCAGCTCCAGTGCATAAACCCAGAGCCAGGTGCGGCTGCAAAGAGGGGCTCACGCTCGCTCCTGGTGTGGGGTGGGCCCATCCAGCAGCTCCAGCCACAGCTCAGGACAAGCCCTCGCTCTCTGCACACTCATGGGCATCACTGGCTGCCCTACCACAGTCAGGCCGCCCCCCACTCCCGGCTCCATACTGCCAGGGTTTCCAGTGTAGGATGCCCCCACCAGGACCCCGATGTACTCCCTTTACAGCAAAAGAAGGTGGCAGCCGACCCAGGGCTGAGGTACCCATTGGCCCTAGACTGTGCTGACAGGTGCGGCTTGGAGGCAATGCTGCGTCCCCGCAGGCGGAATTCCTAGGTCCAGGAACCAGGGAAGGAGGGGGAGTCGTTCCACTAAGCATCACTCCCACGACCCACTTAGGAAATGTGTGCTTCTCGTCCCTGCAACTTTAAGCTCTGGGTTTAGCGGGGGAAAACACATCCACTGGGGAAGCAGCAGGAGCTCCTCCGTCTGTGACTCCTATGACTCTTCCTGCAAGACACCAGTAAGCAAGGAGAAGAGTGGCCAAGCCGGTGGCCCATGGGGCTGCTCACTGTCCTTCCCTACACAACTGTGATAGTAAATAGGGCTCGGACCCCCAGGAGGAGGGCCTGGACCACCACACCTGTGACAGAGGGGCAGAGACAGTTTCTCAAAGAAAGATGTCACGGTCCCAAGGCAGCCATCCCTGAGTCCTGCTGAGACTACCCAGGCCATCCCCTCTGCCTGGGACGCCCGTCCCCTCCTTCTCAGCCAGGGCTCATCCCTCAAGGACCGGCCTCGAGCTCACTCTGCCTGGGAAGCCGTCCCCAGCAGGGTTAGGTCAAAGCACGCATACCAGGTCTCCCCAGAAGGGGCTCCCTGGGGGCCTTATTGGCCCCCAGAGCTTAGGCCAGTCTCTCAGGACTCTCTGCTCAACGCACACCACAGAGGAAAAACTGATCAAGACTGGGAGATGCGGCTTCCACAAAAGCAGAGTACAGAAAAGAAAGTTAGACTAGGGTCCCTCCAAGTATGCAGAGCCCTGGGGCGGAATGCTCAGGTCTGGTAGGCCTCCCTGCCCTGCTAGCTCCTGTTCGGCTCCATTCCCAGGCCTCTCAGCCATTCTTCATGTGTCTTCAGGCTCGGCACACCTCCAGAAGGGCCCTGATGGGTGCCCTCATTCCCAGCAACCCCGACAGGTCTTCAGAGACCCTTGGTGGTACCCACGGCCGCCTCCCTGGGGAAGCCCTTTGGCCCTGGTTTCAGGCTCCAGCCTGGTCCTGGCTTTCCTCCTCCCACCTCCTCCCCTGCAGGCTCTTCTCATCCCCTCCTGGGGGCAGCACTATGTGGTCAGCAAATCAAACAAACGGGACCTTTTCACCTGCAGCCGGATTCTGCTCAGAGCCCCTCTGGGCCCAGACTCCACTGACACCTCCAGGTACCGCCGGCAGCTCAGCAAGGCTGCAGCCACCCTGGAGCGGCTCTGCCTAGAACATTCACACCAGGTGCTCCTCTAGCGCCCCCTCTCTGCCACAGCACATCCCCGTCCCAGTGACAGGCCTCTCCTACTGCCTCAGGACCGCCACGCCTCCCACCCAATCCTTCTCCAACACTTGGCTTCCTCCTCCCAAAGGTCTCCGCCACTCCCGGCAGAGAACAGCTCTCACCTCCCCGCAGGCTGCCACGCATCCCCCTGTAGACACTGCCCCTCCTGCCACACACTGTCCATGTGGTTCCAAATGCGAATCCGCTCCCCTCACTGCACCACCTGCCCTACTCTGGCCTTTAACACTTCATTGCCTTCCCATTACCCCTACGGCAACAGGCACAACCCTTACTCACCACCCAGCACCCGCCTGCCCCGCACCTGCCTGTCCTGGCCCCGATCCCTGCCTGAGGCCACGCGTCCCTGGCCTGTCCAACCAGCTCAAAGCACCATGTCCCTCTTGCAGAGCCCAGGTCACGGGTCCTCTTGTCTGTACTGTCCTCGACGGAAGTCACCTCCCCAGCAACTGGGGCCTGGCCCAGCACCTGCGGCCGAATGCTGCTTAACAAGAGTCTTGCAGAAAGGCTGGCGGTTCAGACAGACCAGACAGGCGGCCAGAGGAGGCTGCCTGAGGGTGGCGACATTAGGGCGCAAACCAGGGACCAGCGTGGGCTCTCATCTGACAGGGGCCTAGGCAAGGTAGGGGCTTCCAGATGTAGGTGAGCGGGGGTGTGAGGAGCAGCTAGGGGGCAGGGCACACAGATGACCATCCTGACCTCAGTGCTCCACTGCCTCCTAAACAACAAGCCTGGAAGGCCCAGCCCAGGGGGTCCCAGCCCAGGAGGCCTGCACAGAGCCCCACAGGGCATCCCCACCTGCCTGCTCACCTTGCACGCCGTGCCCACCAGGGCTCCATCTCGGCTCCAGACGGCGCTCTGCACCAGGTCCCCATGGGCTGCCAGCTCTGCAGAGAAGCAGTCACAGTCAGGTCCCGGGCAGTGAGGGCACCAGGGAAGTGGGTGGGGGCGGGCCTTGCTGGGGGGAACTCCCAGAGCAAAGGCAGCAGCTACGAGGGTCCTTTTCAGCCAAGGGGGCAAGGGCAGCAGCTTCTCCCAGACAGGCTTCCCCTGCACCACAGGCTGCTTCCTTCACCCCACCTTTGTGCAGCCGTACATCACTCAACTACCTTCCGAGGCTTCCCGCTCCTGGCCTGGCTCTCTCATCCCTCCCAGGCTCACTTCCAACATAGCTCCCCACCAACAGGGTCACTCCTGCCCTAAGCCTCTATTCCTGCCATCTATACTCTCCCTCGCTAGTGTGAGGTCTTAAAATACTTCTCTACATTCTCTGCAACTCCTGTTCCAGGTTAAATTGTGCTCCCCTAAAAAGATGGTGAAGTCCTAACCCCCACTACTTTTCGGAGGCTTGCTCTGTCACCCAGGCTGGAGTGCAGTGGTGCAATCTCAGCTCACTGCAATCTCCGCCTCCTGGGTTCCAGCAATTCTCCTGCCTCGGCTTCCCAGGTAGCTGGGATTATAGGCACCTGCCACCATGCCCAGCTAATTTTTGTATTTTTAGCAGGGACGGAATTTCACCATGTTGGCCAGGCTGGTCTCGAACTCCTAACCTCAAGTGATCCGCCCACCTCGGCCTCCCAAAGTGCTGGGATCACAGGCATGAGCCACCGTGCCCGGCCTATTATTATTTTTTGAGACAGCATCTCACTCTGTTGCCCAGGCTGGAATGCAGTGGTGTGATCATAGCTAACTGCAGCTTTCACCTCCTGGGTTCAAGTAATCCTCCCACCTCAGCCTCTTGAGTACCTGGGACACAGACAGGCACACGCCACCACGCCTGGCTGATTTTTTAATTTTTTGTAGAGATTGTGTCTCACTATGTTGCTCAGACTAATTCTCAAAATATTGGGCTCAAGCGATCCTCCCATTTTGGCATCCCAAAGTGCTGGGATTACAGGTGTGCGCCACGACGCCCATCCAAGAAGGTTTTTTTTTGGTTTTTTTGTTTTTTGTTTTTTGTTTTGAGATGGAGTCTTGCTCTTGTCCCCCAGGGTGGAGTGCAATGGCACGATCTCTCTTCGCTCTCCATAGCCACTGCAACCTCTGCCTCCTGGGTTCAGGCAATTCTCCTGCCTCAGCCTCCTGAGTAGCTGGGATTACAGGCACCCGCCACCACACCCAGCTAAGTTTTTGTATTTTTAGTAGAGACGCGGTTTCACTATGTTGGCCAGGCTAGTCTCGAACTCCTGACCTCGTGATCCACCCGCCTTGGCCTCCCAAAGTGCTGGGATTACAGGCGTGAGCCACCGCGCCCGGCCAAAGTTATTTTTTATTTTTATTTTTTTGAGACGGCATCTCACTCTGTCACCCAGGCTGGAGCGCAGTGGTGCAATCTCGGCTCACTGCAACCTCTGCCTCCTGGGTTGGAGCAATACTCTTGCCGCAGCCTTCTGAGTAGCTGGGATTACAGGTGTGTGCCACCACGCCCGGCTAATTTTTGTATATTTAGTAGAGACGGGGTTTTGCCATGTTGGCCAGGCTGGTCTTGAACTCCTGACCTCAGGTGATCCACCTACCTCGGCCTCCCAGAGTGTTGGGATTACAGGCATGAGCCACCGCGCCCGGCCATTATTTTTTTAAATGGAGAAAAACAACAGAAAAAAAAAAAAACAGGTAAGAGGATGAAACTGATGGCTACGGAGAGCAAAGAGAGATGGGGTGTTTATTACAGCCTCATAGAATCTTAAGACTTTTATACTATGTAAGTGTAAAACTTTGATATCTGTTTTTAAATTTATGTGACTAAACATGCCAACAAAGAAACGGAGTGCTGTCCAGAGTGGGGCTGCCCTGGGAAGGGCAGGCCAGGGTGGCCTGTACCTGTCAGGGGCTGCTGCTTGGCTGCGTCCCAGACCTTCACAGTGGTGCCTGCTGCGCTCACCAGAATGCCGTCAGAGGTGGGGTGGAACTGCAGTACCTCCACTGGGAGGTCCTCGGGGCCCAGCACCACCCCGGGTGCTGAGGGCAGGGCCTGGCCAGGCCCTGGCAGTCGCCAGAGTTTTACCTGCAAGAAAGACCAAGTCCGTGAGCACAGGGCTGAGGGCCTCACTGCCTTGAGTCAGCTGCCGTGACCCCAGTGAGGTCCCGTGTTGGAACTAGGCTGCTCCAGGAGACCACACACCTTGGCCTTGGGAGGAGCGCCCACCCGCCTCAGCTTGCTTGGGCCAGGGGCTGCATACCCCACATCCGAGAAAGGAGGGAGGGAATCTCAGCTCCTAGACCACACGGTGTGGTCCCAGAGTTGGGGAAGTGGCTCTACTGTTTCTGGCAGCATCCCCACCTGCTGTCCTCGGGCTCCAGGTCAGGTCAGAGCCACGGCTCCAAGCAAGCCCTTGGGAGCCAGTGTGGGACCAGGAATTCAGACCAGCCCCGCAGCCCTGGGGAGTGGGGTGGGGCTGGACTGGGAGGCAGCAGAGCCCTGTGGGGATGGCGCTGGGGCTCAGAAGGCCCTGGACTACGGGCTGGGACATAGAGCAGCTCTTCCAACTGGCTCCACTCACCGTCCTGTCAGCCGAGCCTGTGGCCAGGAGGAAGTCATCAAAGGGCGAGAAGTCCAAGTCGGTGACTAGGTCTGTGGGAGAGGAATGGCTGAACCCACCGGAATGTCCTGTTTCCAACCCAGTATGAAGCAAAGCCCAGGGCTTCCGAGGTGACACTTTTGTGTGCACACAGAAACAGGCTACAAGTCTACAAGGGCCCTCTGGACACCATGGGGGCAAATGCCACAGGCCCCTCCTGCGACATACGTCCCCGAGGGCCCTGCTGACCCAGGGTGGCCAAGGGCTCTGGCATCAGGAGGTTGGCAGGAAATGGGCAGGAAGCCGCTTGAGTCACCAGGCACCTGCAGGAACGCAGCTGCCCAGCCCGACCCCTCCTAGGGCAGCACAGCCCACTGCTCCTTCAGTCGTGGAAGGTCCCCAGGACTCAACTAAGAAATTGCTTTTTGGTTAAGCAAGCCGGAGTTGGCTTTAGTTCTTTGCAACCAAAGAACCTGAATGGTGGCCGGGCATGGTGGCTCATGCCTGTAATACCAATACTTTGGGAAGCCAAGGTGGGCAGATCACTTGGGCTCAAGAGTTCAAGACCAGCCTGGGCAACACGGTGAAACCCCGTCTCTACAAAAAATATAAAAATTAGTTGGGTGTGGTGGCGGGCGCCTATAGTCCCAGCTACTCAGGAGGCTGAGGCAGGAGAATTGCTTGAACTCAGGAGGCAGAAGTTGGAGTGAGCAGAGATCACACCACTGCATTCCAGCCTGGGCAGCAGAGCCAGACCTTGTCTCAAAAATTAAATACTAAGAACTTGAACGGCTCAGCTCCAGAGGTGGGGAGGGGTAGGTGGGGTGCACAGAGTGAGCCAGACCCCAGAGGGAAATGCGGTGGGTGGTTGGGGAGGTAGAGACTAGGCATGGAGGGTGGCGGGGTTTCGGGGTGTGAACAGGACGAGAGGTATCACCAGAGCTGGGAGCACAGCGACCACCTGCTGCTGTCTGCCTCCCAACAGGGCTGAGCAGGACTGTCTTCCTCCCGGCCTCAGGAGACAGGGAAAAGATAGGACGGACGTGCACAGGCACATCTTGGGATAGCCCTGGCCTGGAATCCCAGCTGGCAGGACCACAACATTCCTGGGCCTAAAGCCACAGAACCCCTGCTGCCCTCACTCTGGGGTGTGCTTGCTGGGCCCTGCAGGGCAAAGCAGGTCCCTGGGCAGGTGTAGCAGCTGGCACAGGCGGGCTGGCATCTCAGGCGTGAATGAGATGTGATGACATAAGCAATCTGAGTGCTCAGCATGTGCTGGCACCACAGATGCCCAGGGGTTGACACGCAGGGACCTCACTGAATCCTCATAAGGATGCAGCAGGTGGCACTGCAGCAGCATCCCCTACTGGAGGATGAGGACGCCAAAACCCAGAGAGGGTGAGTAACTGCCCCAAGTCACGCGGCTAAGAGACAGGGCCAGCTTCAGAACCTGTGCTGCTCAGCATGACATGCTGCTGCCTTTTCCCACTGGAGCGGGCCCCAGCTGCCGCCCCACAGCCTGGACATCAGAAACGCACCCAGAAGTTGCTCACCCTCTGCTCCCCTGGCTGCTGGGCGGAAGGGCAAGAGTGGCCCTGAGCTGAGAGGCTGAAGGGGCCTCTGAAGGCAGGGCAACAGCCAGAGCCCCACCTGGCCATTTCTCCCGACACCGGCACCTCTGAGGCAGAAGGGCACCTGGTGCCTCTAGGGCAGGTTCCAGGGGTGCTGGAGCTCACCTTCCCATGAGCAGTTTCCCGGCAGGGCTGCTCATGCAGGCAAGGCTCTGAACAGTTGCAGCCACAGTGAGGCTATGGACTTGCCTACAGGACCCTGGTCCAGCTTCTACTTGAAGAGCCCTAGTAGCAGAGGGCTCACCACCTTGCAAGCATCACCAACTTGGGCTAGCTCCCTCATAGATAAAAAGCATCAAAAAGTCAAACATGAAGCCAGGTACATTGGCTCATGCCTATAATCTCAGCACTTTGGGAGGCCAAGGTGGGAAGATCACTTGAGGCTAGGAGTTCAGGACCAGCCTGGGCAACACAGCAAAACCCCATCTCCACAAAACATAAAAAAATCAGCTGGGCATGGTGGTGTGTGCCTATAGTCCCAGCTACTAGGGAGGCTGAGGATAGACGATCCCTTGAGCCCAGGAGTTCAAGACTGCAGTGAACTATGATTGCACCACCACACTCCAGCCTGGATGACAGAGACAGAGACCCTGTCTCTAAAAAGACAAACCCAAACACAGGCTCCTATAGACCTGGGTTCTGATTCTGGCCCTGCCATAACAATGGGTAAGTTCCTAACCTTGCAGGAGTCTCAGTTTTCATAGCTATAAAATGGGTTGTTTTAAAACCTACTTCAAAGAGATCTGAGATTAGATGAGAACAGACTTGTTATACAAGCTGCCACACACATGTATCTCTAAAACAACATGCTACGTGAAAGATGCCAGATTCCAAAGACCGTGTATTGTGCGATTCCATTTGCGTGAGATGCGCAAAAGAGGCCCCTCTATAGAGGAGAGGCCAGTAAACGTCTCCTGCGAAGGGCAAGGCGGTAAATATTCTAGGATTTCAGGGCTCAACAGTCTCGGTCACAACTCAACTCTGCAGTTGTTGCAAGAAAGCAACCACAGACTATACATCAATGAATGGGCGTGGCAGCGTTCCAATAAAACTATTTACAAAAACAGGCAGCCAGCTGGATCTGGCCGTGACAGTAGTTTGCAGACCTCTGCCACAGAGGCAGGAAGCAGATCAGCTGTTGCCTGAGGCTGTGGTATTGGAGGTGGAAATGGATTAACTGCAAAGGGGCATGCGGGATCTTTTGGGGATGATGGAAACGTTCCAAAACTGGATGGCAGTGCACATGACTCGGTCACTTTAATAAGAATCATCAGGCTCTTTACTTAAAACAGGTAATCTGACGGGGCCCCAAAACTTTGGGAGGCCAAGGCGGGAGGATAGCTCGAGGCCAGGAGTTCAAGACCAGGCTGGGCAACATAACAAGACCCCATTTTACAAAAAATTTTTAAAAATTAGCTGGAGGGGTGGTGGCATAAACCTGTGGTCCTGACAACTTGGGAGGCTGAGGTGGAAGAATTGCTTGAGCCCAGGAGGTCAAGGCTACAGTGAGCCATGATTATGCCACTGCACTCCAGCCTGAGTGACAGAGCAAGACCCTGTCACAAAAACAAACAAAAAACAGGTAACGTTGGCTGGGCCTGGTGGATCACACCTGTAATGCCAGTACTTTGGGAGGTTGACTTGGGAGGATTGCTTGAGCCCAGAAGTTTGAGACCAGCCCGGGCAATATAGCAAGACCTCGTCTCTATATACTTTTTAAAAATTTTTTAAAAAAGTTTAGATGAGAAAACTCAGCTAACGTACTTAGTACAGAGAGCAATCTCCATAAATCTTTACTATTGTTATTAACCACCATCATTATCATATCAGAACCCCTCCACGACCCTGCACACCCAGCCTGAGGACCAGGCATCAACTGCCTTCCCTCACCCGAAGGCCTCCAAACAAGCAGCCAGAAATGCAGGCCAGAGAGACTGGGCCCGCGGCCGCTGCAGCTGGACAGTGAGAGGCGAGGCCAGCTGGGCTGCTCTGCCTCCATCTGAGGCGAGCAAACTGTTCCCTCGAGGCGGACAGCCTGCCAGGCAGGCTGCTGGACGCCCCCAGAAGCAGCTGCGGCACACAAAAGGTCTCTTTGTGAGGGCCCATCTCCACCCCTGCAGCCCAACACAGCGACCTCCTTGGAGGGCCCCGAGCGGCTGGGCTGGGGAGGATGCCTGGTGGAGAGGGGACTCCAGCAGAAGACGGAGGGCTCAGAGCCATCCAACGTGGAGTCCTCGGCAGGGACAGGGAGCCAGCATCAGCCTGGAGCCTGGGGCGGCCACTGCACACCCCGCTCCATCCAGCTCACAACCGGAGCACACAGCTTCCCTCCTCACTGCCCAGGCCGGAATTCTACACCAGGAGGAAGCCTTCTGAGCCCCACTGTCTCTCAGAGAGTGCACAGACAGGGCGACAGGAGGGACCTGGCAAGCCATGCGGCAGTGGGACCAGGTGAGGATGAATTTCTGGCCCTGGAGAGGGAGGTGCAAGTTTCAGGCTTCACCCACTAGTCAGACACCCACTCACCTGAATGGCAGCCCAGGTGGGCCACGCGTCGCTTGTCCTCTCCTTGGCCTTGCAGAGGCACAATGCCCAGTACACCTGTTAAACAAACACGGGGACTCTGACTTCAGGCCCCACAGGGCCACCCACCTCCTTGCCCAGGGATCCCAGAGATGAAATCCAGCAGCTCAGCCTCGGACCTTCCCAGAGCCTCTACCAATCACAAGATCATATCCTCTGCACGTAGCAATGGCCTGTGGGTAGGTTCTGGCCCCATGCATGAGCCATCCATGCCTCAGATGGATACAGAAGACATTAGGCGAGAGGTCCTCTCTTTTTAACACGGGTCATACGAAAGGGGCGTGGGGCTTTCGTATGGGGCTTGCAGCTACCGTCAGCCACTTTTCGCACTTTTACTTGAGAAAGAAGCCAACACCCAAGGTGGCAGAGCTGAGAGACCCAGAGAGGTCAGGGCCGACAGTACATGTGAGCCTTTGGGCACCGATCTGCCTGAAGCCCCTGATCTCTTAGTTAGGCTGAAACATTATCCATTTTTTGCTTAAGCCAGCTTGAGGGTCTGAGTTACCACTAGCAATCAAGAGAGTGCCAACCAACACACGGGCTTTTCAAGCCTTTCTGTTCCTACTGTCCCCAGCCATCCAGGGCCCAAAGATGAGGAGCAGGGAGCACAGAGGGACAGCTGGAAATACAAGCGTCAGTCCCCTCCCAGCCCTCCTGGCCATGCTCTTGCCTGTGGTTTGTACACACATATGTCCTAATCAAAAGCAATCAGATTACTGCGCCTGGACCAGTTTGTGGGGGTCTAAGGTCTGGCATGGGGCTCACCTCTGAGCCCCCCAAAGCAGTTCCGTTCCAAGTCTCCAAATACACCAAGCCTGCCCCTGCTCCCCACCCCATCTATGGTGACGATGACCGAATATGTGAGCAAATATCCACACTCATGGCCATTCCCTACCAGGACGGTCGGAGTTGAAGGCGATCAAGCTGCAGCTTGATTTGATGTGGTTCCTGCATGAAGGGGCGGTTCCTGCTCGAATGTCACTGATCCAGGACTGAAAATCAAGAGTAAAGAAGTATGTGGTGAGAGCCAGGGTTCCACCTCCATGCATGCCTAAAGCAAGAGGTGGGGCATAATCTGGGGAACTCTAGCTCACAGCTGCACCATTCGAGATGCATTCTTTTATTTACTTTTTTTTTCTTTTTGAGACAGGGTCTCACTCTGTCACCCAGGCTAGAGTGCAGTGGCGCGATCTTGGATCACTGCAATCTCTGCCTCTTGGGTTCAAGTGATCCTCCTGCCTCAGCCTCCTGAGTAGCTGGGATTACAGGCGCCCAACACCAAGCCCAGCTAATTTTTGTATTGTTAGTAGAGATGGGGTTTCACCATGTTGGCCAGGCTGGTCTCGAACTCCTGGCCTCAAGTGATCTGCCTGCCTTGGTCTCCCAAAGTGCTGGGATTACAGGCATGAGCCTCCGCCCCCAGCCGTGTTGTGTTACTTCAAATCAAACTCTGTCCCCACTCACGAAGTCCCTTAGGAAATGTAAAATGTGGGCCAGGTGCGGTGGTTCATGCCTGTAATCCCAGCACTTTGGGAGGCTGAGGCAGACAGATCATCCTGAGGTCAGAAGTTCGAAACCAGCCTGGCCAACATGGTGAAACCTTATCTCTACTAAAAATACAAAAATTATCCAGGCATGGTGGCGGGCACCTACATACAATTCCAGCTACTCAGGAGGCTGAGGGAGGAGAATCACTTGAACCTGGGAGGCGGAAGTTGCAGTGAGCCGAGATCATGCCACTGCACTCCTGCCTGGGCAACAGAGCGAGACTCCATCTCAAAAAAAAAAAAAAAAAGAAAATGCAAAATGTGGCCAGGCCTCCTCCAAGTACCCGGAGAAAAACACCCAAGCTCAGAGAGGGGAACCACCAAGGCCTGGCCTCATCAGGACACACCTTTCCACAAAGTCTCATAAGTCAGTAAAAGAAACACCCCCACCCAAGGGGAGGCAGAGGAGCACGTTTCTGAAACTAAGATCTGCAAGGTCCACACATTTTCTCTGTTGTCAAAGCACCGCTCAGCACTCCTTCCTGCCCTCGATGACAGGACACCCATGTTTCCCACTCCACCCACCCATAGCACCCCGGAAACCACCTCCACCACCTGAAGTTTCTATATCAGTGTTCACCTGCCATGGTTACAGCATCAGTCCCACCCTATTATTTCTCCCTCCTGATTCATGTTTACTGTATAAACACAGTGACTGCAAATATCTCTGAAAAGAACAGATCACCTGTTCTCCCGCCTCCCTAACATAAACTGTTTTAAGCTCTCCCTACAGTCTGTAGTTCCATGCCTATCTGTTTATGTTGCTGGACTAAGGCCCACCCAGGAGCAAGAATTAGGGCCCCTCAAGTATTCTCCAGACCCCTCCAAGCAGTACTTAACTGCACTCAGAGCCACCGGCTGTCTTGATGCAAACCTAGGTACCTCCTCCTAACTTTTCTTGTTTGTTTTTTTCTTTTTTTGAGACAGTGTCTCACTCTATTGCCCAGGCTGGTGTGTAGTGGCACAATCTCGGCTCACTGCAACCTCCACTTCCTCGGCTCAAGAGATCCTCCAACCTCAGCCTCCCAAGTAGCTGGGACCACGGGAGTGAGTCACCACACCTGGCTAATTTTTTTTTCTTTAACTTGTTGTTCAGAGGGGTTTCGCAATGTTGCCCAGGCTGGTCTCGAACTCCTGAGCTCAAAGCAGTCCACCCAAAGTACTGGGATTACCGTGAGTCATGGTATCCAGCCCCTCCCCCTAACTTTTCAATGGCTCTGCACTGCAATCAGAATAAAACCCAACTTCTTCCGGTGGCCCTTGGGTTCTGCAGGACCACTCTGGACTCATCTGTCACCATACTGCTCCGGCCATCCCCTCCATCCACTCATGCTCACTTTCCATTTCTCCACCAGGCTCTTTCTCAATTCTCACCCTTCTGGCCTCAGCTAAAATGCCATCTACTCCAGGCAGCCTTTCCTGACCACGCTACTGAGACTGGCCCCCTCCATTCTCCATCCCAGTCCCTCATGTGTGTTCTTCAATGTCGTTATGAAAACCTCCAATGCTCTTGTTTGTCTGCTTGCTGTCTCCCTCATGAGGCTACAAGTGCCACAGGGGAAGGAAAATGCCGTTGTGTTCACCGGGATGTCTCCAGCAGCTTAGCACAGCATAAAGTGGAAGCAGAGGAAATATAGTCCACACTACAAAAACGGAACCTCTACCCAGACTGCCCTGACTTGCTCTGGGACCCTGATGGGGTCACTTGAGGTCAACTCCTAGGCCCAGTTATCGGAGGACACTCCCAGGCCTTACAAATAACACGGAAAGCGGAAGAGCAGAGCTGACATCGTTTCCAAGGCGCACCCCTCATCAGTCCTCCTGCCGTTTCGGGGGTCCGAAGGGTCTCCCGGCACCTGGCTCAGCAATTCTTTGGGGCTCCACCTGCTCAGGCTTCCCCAGGCCCCACCCAGCCGTGGCAGCATCACCGAGATAAAGAAAGAGCTTGCGCCAGCGGCGAGAGGAGGAAGCACCGGCGGAAACCCGAGGGAGGGGCGCGTGCGGCCGAGGGGCTCCCTCCCCACCACTGACACACTTGGGCTCGCCGGGGCCAGAGGAGAGAGGGGCGTCTCCCCACAGCCCAGCCAGGGGCAGGGGCGACCCGGGGCGGCAGGGAGGAGGAGCCAGGCGCCGGCAGCGCCCCGAGCCCCGGCTCCCGGCGAGGCCGACCGGAAGCTGGGAAGGCAGGCGGCCTCGCAGGCCTGGGCCCCGGCTAGGAGGGCTGCGCCGCCTCGGGGGTCCCGGGGCGAGGTGGGCGAGGCGGGCAGACCGCCAGGGTCACCGAGCGCCAGAGCGAGTCACGGGAGTGCCGGACTCTGCCCTCCGGCGGCGACGAAACGGCCCGGACGCCGGGGCCCTGGCCTGAAGGGGGGTTCCCCGGGGATGGAGGTCTCGGGGTTCCAGACGGCCCTGGAGGGCACCCCTGTGGGGTCCGGGCAGGGGGAGGGGCAGCCGGACGGGGCCCGAGGCGACAGCGCCCGGTCCTCGGGCCGGACTCACCTCGCGGCGGGGCGGCCGAGCCTCGGTGTGCCGGAACTTGGACACCCTGAAGCGGTTCATGGCGACGGGCACGGCGGCGGACGCGTCTTCGAGGACCCCGGGCGTCGGGTCTCAGGTGCACGCTGAGCAACCGCGACTCCCGCTGCCTCGGCCCCACCCGGGACCCAATGCCGCGGTCACGCCCCCGGCGCGCCCCACTGCCAATCGCAGCCGTCTCCGGCCCCCTGGGCCACGCCCCCAAGCCCCTCTCCTTTCGCGCGCGCACCACCGGTCCCGCCTCCCGGCCAATCCAGGTACGGCCGCCCCGCGAGGCCACGCCCTGATACCGAGGGGACGGACTGGCGCGGGTGGGAGGTCACGTGGGGCGCAGCTGTCAGCCCACGTCTCCTGCGGTGCTTGCTTGCGTGGGGTCTCGGCTGCAGCATTCGCGATTTTGTGTGCAGGATTTGCTGTGGAGTCTTTGCGGTGTACCTAGCACGCCTTCCAGCACTATCTACCTCTTCCTGTAGAGAGGGGAGAAATTAGCTCCATTTCAGAGACAGGAAACCCCCGGCTAAAGGAGAGTGTAAACTGTCGGTCCCCAGGTCACACCAGTGGTAAGAGGCAGAGGGGGAACAGGGGCCCAGGTCTAAAGCAAATCCCTGTCCACCGGGCCTACTCAAAAGCCTCTGCATCCGGCCAGGCGCTCTGCATCCGGCCAGGCGCGGTGGCTCAGGTCTGTAATCCCGAACTTTGGGAGACTGAGGCAGGAGTATCCCTTGAGCCCAAGAGGTCGAGGCTGCAGTTATCTGTGACCGTGCCACTGCACTCCAGCCTGGGAGACAGAAAGAGACCCTGCCTCTAAAAATAATAATAATAATAGCTTTTAATTTTTCTTTAGTATTTATTCATTTATTTGACACGGAGTCCCTGTCACCCAGGCTGGAGTGCAGTGGCGCGATCTCAGCTCACTGCACCCTCTGCCTCGCGGGTTCAAGCAATTCTCTTGCCTCAGCCTCCCGAATAGCTGGGATTACAGGCGCCTGCCACCGCGCCCAACTAATTTTTTATTTTTAGTAAGAGACGGGGTTTCACCATGATGGTCAGGCTGGTCTCGAACGAGACTCAAGCAGTCCTCCCAACTTGGCCTGCCAAAGTGTGGGGATTATAGGAATGAGCCAACGCACCCAGCTGATTCTTGCATTTCTAAGGTTTGAAAAGCAATGCTTACATTTTATCTTAGTTCGGGCAGAAGTGTATTTACTGTGAACCAAAGTCACTTGTGGTTTATTGAAAAGGCTTTTTGTTTGTTTGTTTTGAGACAGAGTCTCACTCTGTTGCCCAGGCTGGAGTGCAGTGGTGTCATCTCAGCTCACTGCAACCTCCACCTCCTGAGTTCAAGCGATTCTCCTGCTTCAGCCTCCCAAGCAGCTGGGATTACAGGTGTGCGCCACTACTCCTAATTTTTGTATTTTTAGTAGAGATGGGATTTTGCCATGTTGGCCAGGCTGGTCTCAAACTCCTGACCTCAAGTGATCCACCTGCCTCAGCCTCCCAAAGTGCTGGGATTAGAGGCATAAGCCACTGCGCCCAGTCCAAAAAGGTTTTTAGAAAATCATCAGGTTGGCCGGGCGCGGTAGCTCACGCCTGTAATCCCAGCACTTTGGGAGGCCAAGGTGGGTGGATCACCAGGTCAGGAGTTCAAGACCAGCCTGGCCAAGATGGTGAAACCCTGTCTGTCCTAAAAATATAAAAATTAGCTGGGCGTGGTGGTGGGTGCTTGTAATCCCAGCTACTTGGGAGGCTGAGGCAGAGAACTGCTTGAACCCGGGAGGCGGAGGTTGCAGTGAGTCGAGATCGTGCCATTGAACTCCAGCTTGGGTGACAGGGCGAGACTCTGTCTCAAAAAAAAAAAAAAAAAGAAAAAAAAAGAAAATCATCAAGTGGCTGGGCATGGTGGCTCACGCCTATAATCCCAGCACTTTGGGAGGCCGAGGTGGGTGGATCACCTGAGGTCAGGAGTTCAAGACCAGCCTGGCCACCATGGTGAAACCCCGTCTCTACTAAAAATACAAGGCGTGGTGGCAGGTGCCTGTAATCCCAGCTACTCGGGAGGCTGTGGCAGGAGAATCACTTGAACCCGGGAGGTGGAGGTTGCAATGAGCCGAGATCATGCCATTGCACTCCAGTATGGGAGACAAAAGCGAGATTTTGTCTCAAAAAAAAAAAGAAAGAAAGAAAATCATCAGGACAGTGGTCCCACTGGATCCTAGGCGACCGAGGCACAGCTCATCATCCCCTTTCATAGGGAACTGCACCTGCTACAGACATCACAGACCAGAACATCTGGACCACACATTCCTCACCCACTTGGAATTGTCCTATACTCTGTGTGAAGTAAAGAAAATGCTATACTTAAGACAAATCATGCCCCTGAAGAGCTGGGCTCAGGCTCTTCTGCCCTCTGTAAAAGATCTCTGAGCTCACATGGGAGAGTTGCAGCCATTGGCAGCCATGAACTTGGCCAGTCCCATTATACTTCAAATGATCAGTGGTTTCAGCAAGAAATCACAGAGACCGTCTTGTCTCCCATTGCCTTCAGCCCAGCACTGTCGGGGAGCACCATTAAACCCCTTCGCAGCTCTCACAGATATCCACAGCTCAGGAGATGGGGAAAGTGCTCTGTGGAATTGCTGGTCTAGTGAAATGAAAGTGTGGAGGGGGAAACGCTTACGACTTTGTGTTCCCTTTGCAAGTAACATTTGTTTCTCCTTTTTTTTTTTTTTTTTTTTGAGATAAAGTCTCTGTTGCCAAGGCAGTGCAATGGTGTGATCTCAGCTCACCATAACCTGTCTCCTGGATTAAAGTGATTTTCCTACCTCAGCCTCCCGAGTAGCTGGGATTACAGGTGCATACCACCATGCCTGGCTAATTTTTGAATTTTTAGTAGATATGGGATTTCGCCATGTTGCCCAGGCTGGTCTCAAACTCCTGAGCTCAGGCTGTCTGCCCACCTCGGCCTCCCAAAGTGCTAGGATTACAAGCGTGAGCCACTGTGCCCGGCCTGTTTCTCCTTAAAGCTCACATTTTTGAGCTTCTGCCTGGAGAACACGGGATCATATTCTGACTGGCACTGAGGATAGGTGTAGCTTGTGGCTTCTGCAGTCTTTGGCAACAAGCCTGGGATGGATCCATTTGTGTCCAGTTGCAGCAGAAGTCCTTGAAAGGCAGGGCAGCAGTTTGTACCCATGGTAGTAATAAATGCTTGCCCTGCCTCTCTTTTGTTGTGAAAAGCAAATGAAAATAAGCATGAGAAAGTACTTCAGAAACTCCCAAGAGCCATATGCTTGGGAGATACTGATCGCAATGACGATTGATAGGCACGTGGTTTAAAGGAAAAACACACAGTTTTGTTGTGAGAAGACCTGGGCTTGGGTCTTCATTCACTCACTTACTAGCTGTGTGGCCTTGGACAAGTCTTTTCATCTTTCAGAGCTTATTTTATTGTTGTTTTTTTTCTTTGTGGGCGGGGTGGTGTCCGTTTGTAAAAATGGGAATAGTCCTCCCGCTACCTACCTCATAGGGTTGGGCTCATATCAAAATAGAAAACAAAGCCAGGGAACAGTGGCTCATGCCTGTAATCTCAGCAGTTTGGGAGACTGAGGCGGGCAGATCACTTAAGGTCAGGAGTTCGAGACCAGCCTGGCCAACATGGCGAAACCCCGTCTGTACCAAAAATACAAAATTAGCTGGGTGCAGTGGTGCATGCCTGTAATCCCAGCTACTCAGGAGGCTGAGGCAGGAGAATCGCTTGAACCCAGGAGGTGGAGGTTGCAGTGAGTCAAGATCGTGCCATTGCACTCCAGCCTGGACAACAAGAGCAAAACACTGTCTCAAAAATAAATAATAATAAAGTCTAACCAAAAAGAGACCAGGCATAGGCCCAGGCTGCTCTCAGCTGGGAGTCTTTCCCATGTTTTTCTTTCTTCTGTGTGGCAGATCCCAAGGACTTTGTCCTCTCTTTTGGTAATTACCATCATCCACTCCACTCCTTAAGAGTTCTCTGCTTCATAATAGAAAATACTGGCTCCCCAACAATCAGCCTTCCTGCTATCCCTGAAAACAAGAACACACACACCATTTCAACGTGGAGGATTTTTACTGTTCATCACTATGGGGAACTAGATGGGGGATAAACGAAAATACAAAGAAAAAAAGGGGGGGAAGTTACAACGGTGACAGTTTTCATATTACTGAGCTCTCCTCTAGTTCCTAACTCACTCTGAGGTAGTAAATGGAAGTCCTTTTGGCTCTTGTTTTCAGCTTCTATACTTGAAAGTTGTTCTTCTCAACCAGCAGCATCCCCCCAACCCCCATTTCTCCTAAGTTTTGGGCTCCCCGTGAGTAAGTAACTCTGTCTGAGTTCTTAGTATCCTCAGTGCTTAGTACAGCCTGGCACATGGGGCCAACACAGATTGAGCAATGGCTACGCATCAAGTACTATAGGAAGCCTTTACATGATTATGTCACTCAGATGACCCTTTGAGGACATTACTATTTTTTGTTTTGCTTTATTTTGAGACAGAGTCTTGCTGTGTTGTGCAGGCTGGAATGCAGTGGCGTGATCTCGGCTCACTGCAACCTCCGCCTCCCAGGTTCAAGTGATTCTCCTGCCTCAGTCTCCCCAGTAACTGGGACTACAGGTGCGCGCCACCACGCCTGGTGAAATTTTTTTTTTTTTTTTTTTTGAGGAAGAGTCTCACTGTTGCCCAGGCTGGAGTGCAGTGGTGCAATCTCAGCTCACTGCAGCCTCCACCCCCTGGGTTCAAGTGATTCCCATGCCTCAGCCTCCAAAGTAGCTGGGATTATAGGCACGTGCCGCTGTGCCCGGCTCATTTTTGTATTTTTGTAGTGACAGGGTTTCACCAAGTGGCCCAGGCTGGTCTTGAACTCCTGACCTCAGGTGATCCACCTGCCTCGGCCTCCCAAAGTGCTAGGATTACAGGCGTGAGCCACCACACCCGGCAATTTTTGTACTCTTTAGTACAGATGGGGTTTCACCATGTTGGCCAGGCTGCTCTTGAACCTCAGGTGATCCCCCCACCTCGGCCTCCCAAAGTGCTGAGATTACAGGCGTGAGCCACCACGCCTGGCCGACGTCGTTACTATTAAGTCCTCATTTATTTATTTGACATATGGTCTCCATTTGTCACCCAGGCTGGAGTGCGGTGGCACAATCATGGCCCATTGCAGCCTCAGCCTCCCAGACTCAAGCAATCCTCCCACCTCAGCCTCTCAAAATGCTGGGATTACAGGTGTGAGCCACCGTGCCTGGCCTATGTCCCCATTCTAGAGAAAAGGAAACAGAAGAACAGAGTGAAGTAAGTTGCCCAAGGACACACAGCTGGTAAGTGGCACAGCTAGAATTCAATCCCAGGCTGTCTGACTCCAGAGCTATACTCTTTTTTTTTTTTTTTTTTTTTTTTTTTTTGAGAAAGTGTCTTGCTCTGTTGCTCAGGCTGCAATGCAGTGGCACTATCATAGCTCACTGTAGACTTGAACTCCTGGACTGAAGTGGTCCTCCCACCTTGGCCTCCCAAATAACTGGGACCACAAGCATGCGCCACCATGCCCGGCCAATTAAAAAATTTTTTTTTGTAAAGATGAGGTCTTGCTATGTTGCCAAGGCTGGTCTTGAACTTCTGGGCCCAAGTGATTCTCCTGCCTTGGCCTCCCAAGGTGCAGGGATTGACAGGCATGAGCCACCATGCCTAGCACAGAACCCATACTCTTTTTCTCTTTATTTTTGAGACAGAGCCTCACTCTGTCGCCCAGGCTGGAGTGCAGTGCCGCAATCTTGGCTCACTGCAACCTCCATCTCCTTGATTCAAGCAATTCTCCTGCCTCAGCCTCCCGAGTAGCTGGGATTATAGGCGCCTACCATCACGCCCGGCTAACTTTTGTATTTTCAGTAGAGACGAGGTTTCTCCATGTTGGCCAGGCTAGTCTCCAACACCTGACCTCAGGTGATCCGCCCGCCTCAGCCTCCCAAAATGCTAGGATTACAGGTGTGAGCCACCGCGCCTGGCCACAGAACCCATACTCTTTTTTTGTTTGAGACGGAGTTTTGATCTTGTTGCCCAGGCTGGAGTGCAGTGGCGCGATCTTGGTTCACTGCAACCTCTGCCTTCTGGGTTCAAGCGATTTTCCTGCCTCAGCCTCCCCAGTAGCTGGAAATACAGGCATGTGCCACCATACCTGGCTAATTTTTGTATTTTTAGTAGAGACGGGGTTTAACTATGTTGGCCAGACTGGTCTTGAACTCCTGACGCTGTGATCTGCCCTCCTCGGCCTCCCAGAGCGCTGGGATTACAGGCATGAGCCACCGCGCCCAGTCAGAACCCGTATCTTTTTTTTTTGAGACAAAGTCTCACTCTGTCACCCAGGCTGGAGTACAGTGGCACTATCTCAGCTCACTGCAACCTCCGCCTCCCGGGTTCAAGCAATTCTCCTGCCTCAGCCTCCCGAGTAGCTGGGATTACAGGCGCCTGCCACCATTCCCGGCTAATTTTTGTATTTTTAGTAGAGACAGGGTTTCATCGTGTTGGCCAGGCTGGTCTTGAACTCCTGACCTCAGGTGATCCGCCCGCCTCAGCCTCCCAGAGTGCTGGGATTACAGGCGTGAGCCATTGTGCCTGGCCCAGAACCCATACTCTTCATCACTATGCTGGTCATTTAAGTATTTGCTGAATGTATTAAAGGAACTCTTGCTCACCTCCCAACACCCTTGTTCATCTCAGTCCTCCCCATTCCGTAGCCCAAACTCTCTCCAACTATTACTTGCAATTTACAATAGCTTGGTCACTGTTCTTCAAAGGACTGGTGGTTTTATTTATTTATTTATTATTATTATTTTTTTTTGAGAGGGAGTTTCACTCTTGTTGCCCAGGCTGGAGTGCAATGGCGCGATCTCGGCTCACCGCAACCTCCGCCTCCTGGGTTCAAGCAATTCTCCTGCCTCAGCTTCCCGAGTAGCTGGGATTACAGGCATGCGCCACCACATCCAGCTAATTTTGTATTTTTAGTAGAGACAGGGTTTCTCCATGTTGGTCAGGCTAGTCTCGAACTGCTGACCTTAGGTGATCCGCCTGCCTCAGCCTCCCAGAGTGCTGGGATTACAGGCGTGAGCCACCGTGCCTGGCAGGACCGGTGGTTTTTAATCTTCGAGTCTCAATGCCTGTGGAGAATTTGACGAAAGCTATGGGTATCTACCCAAATTAACATCCACGTACACAAAAATTTGGTGTACAATGCTGGGAGTAGCGGGGAGGGGGAGTAGCACAGATTCCCAGGCTTTGGGGATGGGGGTGAAGATTTATGAGCACAGTTTGTTTTAAATCCAAACAAGAATCCTCAGGTTTTTTCCCCATTGCTTGAGGTGGTTATGATGGTGGGAGTGTGAAAATTGAAAGTCCTTTGCAAGACTAACCAGGTCAGGTCTCCCTTCCTAGCCTCATCTCATCACATACTTTTTTTTTTTGAGACAGAGTTTCGCTCTTTTTGCCCAGGCTGGAGTGCAATGGCGTGATCTCGGCTCACTGCAACCTCCACCTTCCGGGTTCAAGCCATTCTCCTGCCTCAGCCTCCGGAGTAGCTGGGATTACAGGCATGCGCCACCACGCCCGGCTAATTTTGTATTTTTAGTAGAGACGGGGTTTCTCCATGTTGGTCAGGCTGGTCTCGAACTCCGGACCTCAGGTGATCCGCCCGCCTCGGCCTCCCAAAGTGCTGGGATTACAGGCGTGAGCCACTGCGCCCGGCCACCACTTCTTTTCTTTTTTTTTTTTTTTTTGAGATGGAGTTTCTCTTGCCCAGGCTGGAGTGCAGTGGCGCGATCTTGGCTCACTGCAACCTCCGCCTCCTGGGTTCAAGCGAGTCTCCTGCCTCAGCCTCCCGAGGAGCTGGGATTACAGGTGCGTGCTACCATGACTGGCTAATTTTTGTATTTTTCGTAGAGACGGGGTTTCACCATGTTGGCCAGGCTGGTCTGGCACTCCTGACCTCGTGATCCGCCGGCACCTCGGCCTCCCAAAATGCTGGAATTACAGGCGTGAGTCACCGCGACCGGCCTCATCACATACTCTTAAATTTAGGGTTTAAGCAAAGAAGGCAAACACTTTCATATCTTAGACATTTGTTTCTTAAGTTCAGGCTACTTGGAATACTCCATCCCTACCTGACACACTTTTCATCGATGTTCAGTTTGAATCTTACCTCTTAGAAGCCCTGACATCCCAAACTTCCTCTCTCCCATTTTAGAAATGGAATGACTCCTTCACCTTGTATGACTGTAACAGTGCTTATTCCTGTGATAGCATTTAACATTGTTAGTTGCTAAGGAGCCTCTCTCGAGTCATTGTTTGCTCCTCCCGAACAGGGATGGTGTATCAGGCATCACTGTATCCCCGATATTCTAGAACATGCATGACACACAGTAGGCGCTCACAAGTTTTACTAATTTAGTTTTTGGGCAGCACGGCTCCCATTCGGAACCAGCAAGTTCACTGCAGGTTTGGAGAAGGCTAACACGCTTAAGGAGAGAGCTGAGGTCGGCGCGGTGGCTCTCGCCTGTAATCCCAGCACTCTGGGAGGCCGAGACGGGTGGATCACGAGGTCAGGAGTTCAAGACCCAGCCTGGCCAAGATGGTGAAACCCCGTCTCTACTAAAAATACAAAAAAATTAGCCGGGCGCGGTGGCGCGCGCCTGTAATCCCTGCTACTCGGGAGACTGAGGCAGAGAATTGCTTGAACCCGGGAGGAGGAGGTTGCAGTGAGTTGAGATCGCGCCACTGCACTCCAGCCTGGCGACAGAGCGAGACTCTCTGTCAAAAAAAAAAAAAAGAAAAAAAGGAGAACTGAGTCTTGTTAGAGGAGGCGGGTGGGGAATCAGCCTAAGAGACAGTGAGACTGCGGCCAGGATTCTGAGGGTGGCGACGAAGATTTACTAGAAGCGCGCGGAGACGGCATGAGTAAAACTCACGCAATTCGTCGTAAGTCTCAGGGTCAGCAGGAGGAAACCACGCACTACATGCTGGGAGCGGCGCGACGGAGGACCGCGTTGTATGCTGGGACTTGTAGTCTCGCCCTTAGCCAGACCCCTCGGACCACTTAAGTTCGGCTACATTCAACCACGTCCTTACACCGATAACGTACACCCATTGGTTGTCTAGCACAGAATAGCGAGGTTCTGCACGGCGAGTCTACCTAACAACACTCTTCAGAGCAAACCCCGTTTCGGCGATGGCTACCCGGAAGGCGCGTTGGCTGCGGCTACGCGTACGGTGCGCCTGCGCGTGCGCGACGCATGCGCCTCTACGCGCGCCCGCCGTTCCCGCGAGGCCCACCTAGAGCCGGGCGGCGCAGGCGCAGAGTCCCCGGGCCAAGATGGCTGCGCGGTGCTCCACACGCTGGTTGCTGGTGGTTGTGGGGACCCCGCGGCTGCCGGCTATATCGGGTAGAGGGGCCCGGCCGCCCAGGGAGGGCGTGGTGGGGGCATGGCTGAGCCGCAAGCTGAGCGTCCCCGCCTTTGCGTCTTCCCTGACCTCTTGCGGCCCCCGAGCGCTGCTGACATTGAGACCTGGTGTCAGCCTTACAGGTGAGGGCAGGTTCCAACTTCCGAGTGGCGGTTTCAGGGCCTAGAAAAGAGTGAGTCTCCTCGCTGTGACTACGGCTGCAGGGGTAGTGGGGTGGAGGGTGTCTTCCGACGCGGATGCACAATTGCCGGAGACACAGACAGGCAGGAGGCGGGGAGGCCCCAGTGGCTGCTCAGCCGTCAAGGAAGGGAGAGAAGCGTGGAGCCCCCGGCGGCGGTGATGAAACGCCCCGTAGATCGTGAACCTTCACCTCTCTGTCAACATTTCTGGAGGCCGCTGCTCCCTCGTCCTCTTCCTTTCCCATCTCTCCACCTTCTAGCCCGTAGCGGAAGGGAAGAGCTAACTGCCATTCGGAGAGGCCTAGGTACTTTGTTACAACAACCCTGCAAGATGCCTGCCGTCATCACCATTTTAAAGAATGAGAAACTGAGATTCAACGGAGGAATCGACCAGCCCAAGGTCATGGAGTTAGACTAGAAGAGTTGTCTCAAACCCAAAGCAGTCATGTCATAGTTTACGCTCTTTCTACCACGTGGTGCTAATTGAAGGGCACAGTTAACAATCTTTTTAGAAGTCTTTAGTTGGTGATTGTAATAATAACACAGTCAGACATTTATTGAGCACTTACTGTTGGCCAGGCATGGTTTTCCCCTTACATCACATTTCCACATGATAGGCACTGTTATTCCATTTTATAAAGATACTGAGGCTTAGATGTTAAACCACTTATAAATGTCACAAGGAGGTGGAGGCTTGATATCATTGCCTGAGATGACACTGAATTATACATTAAGCCTTGAAGTGCTTAGTCATGTTTTCTTTTCTTTTCTTTTCTTTTTTTTTTTGAAACTGAATCTTGCTCTGTTGCCCAGGCCGGAGTGCAGTGGCTCAATCTCGACTCACTGCAACCTCCGACTCCTGGGTTCAAGAGATTATCCTGCCTCAGCCTCCCCAGTAGCTGGAACTAGAGGCATGCGCCACCACGCCTGGCCAATTTTTGTATCTTTAATAGAGACGGGATTTCGCCATGTTGGCCAGGCTGGTCTCAAACTCCAGACCTCAGGTGATCCGCCTCCCCTTGGCTTCCCAAAGTGCTGGGATTACAGGCGTGAACCACCGTGCCCTGCTTAGCCTTCTTTTCTTATGCCGTGTGTTTTGTGCTGTGTGTTGTACGTACCTGAATTGTGCTAGTTTTGTGTCCTCTAGAATTTGTGCAAATGGTATTTAAGCTATCTATAAATTTATAAAGATTAATTAAAGGGCCCTGACAAGATAATTTATACCAACTAACTTCCTGTTGCAATCCAGTTTGTAATAGTTACATAGTAGACAATCATTAAAGTATCAGTAATTGTGGTTACTTCATGCAATGTAAAGAAAAGAGCCTGGGCTTCAGGGGTGAACTTCCCCAGCGTCTGTGAGCGGGGTGTATTATTTAACCCCTTCGAGCACCTGTCTGAAAATTCATTCATTCACAGGTGTTAATTGAGGCCAATTGTATGCCAGCCACTGTTCTGGGCACTGAGGAGATGGCAGAGAACAAAGAGATTGGATGTGTGTTTGGTTAAGAGAATGATTATTTATGTATTTAATTATTTTTTAAGACAGGGCCTCCTGTTGCCCAGACTGGTGCAGAGGCACAATTACAACTCAGTGCAACCTTGACCTCCCAGGTTCAATCGATCCTCCATCCTCAGCCTCCTGAGTAGCTGGGACTACAGGCATGCACCACCACACCCAGCTAGTTTTCTGTAGATGGGGTTTCACCATGTTACCCAGGCTGGGCTAAAGTGATTCCCTTGCTTCAGCTTCCCAAAGTGCTGGGGTTACAGGCATCAGCCACTGCACCTGGCCAACAGAATGAATTTTTTTTTTTTTTGAGACGGAGTCTCGCTGTGTTGCCCAGGCTGGAGTGCAGTGGCGCTATCTCAGCTCACTGCAAGCTCCGCCTCCCGGGTTCACGCCATTCTCCTGCCTCAGCCTTCTGAGTAGCTGGGACTACAGGCGCCCGCCACCACGCCCAGCTAATTTTTTGTATTTTTAGTAGAGACAGGGTTTCACCGTGTTAGCCAAGATGGTCTCGATCTCCTGAACTTGTGATCCACCCGCCTCAGCCTCCCAAAGTGCTGGAATTACAGGCTTGAGCCACCGCGACCGGCCTTATTTTTATTTTGAGATGGACTCTTGCTCTGTTGCCCAGGCCAAATTGCAGTGATGTGATCCTGGCTCACTTCAGCCTCCCAAGATGCTGGGCTTATAGGTGTGTGCCACCATGCCAGGCTAGATTTTTCAACATGAGCAAAAGTGGCCATTTTTAGAGCTTGCTAACATTTTCTAATGTCAAGGTTGTTTTAAATAGAATCTGGCTGCATCTTTTCATTCAAATATTAATCCTTAGGTGACTTGTTTTATTAAGCCAAATTTGTTCATGTTCCAGCTGTACAAATTTGGGAGCACTCGTTATTATTGTGTATGTGAAAGAGAGAAACAGGCACTAAACACTAAGCTTTGTGTGAAGCTGTGACTAAGGAACTGCGGTTAGCTGTCTTGTTCCCCAAGTGAGCTCATAACCTGCCATGGGCAAGTTTTATATCAGGTAGTGTACACAGGTGAGAGGTGGCATCCTTCAGGGTACGTGCTGTTTTCACAGATAGAGTCATCAACTGGTTGGGCGGGGTGGCTCACGACTGTAATTCCAGCGCTATGCTGGCGCTGAGGCAGGAGGATCACATGAGCCTAGCAGTTTGGGACCAGCCTGGGCAACATAGGCAGATCCCATCTCTACAAAAAGATTTTTTTTTTTTTTTTTTTTTTTTGAGACGGAGTCTCACTCTGTCGCCCAGGCTGGAGTGCAGTGGCACGATCTCGGCTCACTGCAAACTCCGCCTCCCGGGTTCAGGCCATTCTCCTGCCTCAGCCTCCCGAGTAGCTGGGACTACAGGCACCTGCAACCGCGCCCAGCTAATTTTTTGTATTTTTAGTAGAGATGGAGTTTCACTGTGTTAGCCAGGACGTCTCGATCTCCTGACCTCGTGATCCACCCGCCTCCGCCTCCCAAAGTGCTGGGATTACAGGTGTGAGCCACCGCGCCCGGCCAAGATTTTTTTTGTTTGTTTGTTTGAGACGGAGTCTTGCTCTGTAGCCAGGCTGGAGTGCAGTGGTGCGATCTCGGCTCACCATGATCTTGACTCACCGTGATCTCGGCTCACCGCATCCTCCGCTTCCTGGGTTCAAGTGATCCTCTTGCCTCAGTCTCCTGAGTAGCTGGGACTACAGGCACGTGCCACCACTCCCAGTTAATTTTTGTATTTTTAGCAGATACTGGATTTCACCATATTGGCCAGGATGGTCTCGATCTCTTTACCCATGATCTGTCCACCTCAGCCTCCTAAAGTGCTGGGATTACAGGTGTGAGTCACCGCGCCCGGCCTACAAAAAGATTTTTAAAAATTAGCTGACTGTGGCCGGACATGGTGGCTCACGCCTGTAATCCCAGCACTTTGGGAGGCCTATGCGGGCGGATCACCTGAAGTCAGGAGTTTGAGACCAGCCTGATCAACATGGAGAAACCCCGTCTCTACAAAAAATACAAAATTAGCCAGGCCTGGTGGCGCATGCCTGTAAACCCGGGTACTCGGGAGGCTGGGGCAGGAGAATTGCTTGAACGTGAAAGTCGGAGGTTGCCGTGAGCCGAGTTAGCGCCATTGCACTCCAGCCTGATCAACAAGAGCGAAACTGTGTCTCAAAAAAAAAAAAATTAGCCAACTATGGTGGCAACTGCCTGTACTCCCAGCTGCTTGGGAGGCTGAGGTGGGAGTTTCACTTGAGCCCAGAAGGTTGAGGCTGCAGTGAGCCATGATGATGCCACTGCACTCCAGCCTGGGCAACAGAGTATGACTCTTTCTCTACCAAAAAATTAATAAAGTCATCAACTGAGAAGCCATGTGGTGGCGAGCCTCTATAGTCCTAGCTACTCAGGAGGTTGAGGTGGGAGGATTGCTGGAGTCCAGGAATTTGAATTTGGCCTAGGCAACATAATGAGACCCCTGTCTCTTAAAAAAAAAAATTTTGAAAAGGTCATTAACTCAGCGTCCAAACACTAGTCTGTGATCTTGTCTCAAATCTAGTAGTAAGATGACATAACAACATTTTAGATGTGACTTTTCTTCCAAGCAGAAAGAAAGCAGTTGTTGGTGGCCAGGTATGGTGGCTCATGCCTGCAATCCCATTACTTTGGGAGGTGGGTTGATCGCCTGAGGTCAGGAGTTTGAGACCAGCCTGGCCAAGATGGCCAAAGCTTGTCTCTACTAAAAATAGAAAAAGTTGGTCAGGCGTGGTGGCGGGTTCCTGTAATCCCAGCTACTCGGGAGGCTGAGACAGGAGAATCGCTTGAACCCAGGAGGCAGAGGTTGCAGTGAGCCGAGATCGCGCCACTGCCCTCCAGCCTGGGCAACAAGAGCCAAACTCCCTGTCAAAAAAAAAAAAAAAGAAAGCAGTTGTTGGACAGTGGGTTGGCCATTCTTAGAACGACTTGGAGGCTTATTTTATTCTGGGTTGTTCTAAAAAGGACAGGACATTTACTGGTCATATGTGATAAAATAAATAGTCTATTAAATGAAATCTAATTATTGTTAATCATTGATGCCCTATGGATAATGTCAAAAGTCATCAGACTGGGGATGGTGGCTCATGCCTGTAACCCCAGCACTTTGGTAGGATGAGGCCGGCGGATCACTTGAGGTCAGGAGTTCGAGACCAGCCTGGCCAACATGGTGAAACTTCTTACCTACTAAAAATACAAAAATTAGCCAGGTGTGGTGGTGTGCGCCTATAGTCCTGGCTACTTGAGAGGCTAAAGCAGAAGAATCGCTCGAACCTGGGAGATGGAGGTTGCAGTGAACCGAGATCACACCACTGCACTCCAGCCTGGGTGACAGAGTGAGACTCTGTCTCAAAAAAAGAAAAAACAAAGCCATCAGTCTTGTAATTAAACGTGATTTGTCTTTATCCACATGCAGTTTTGTGCGTTACTATCTCTGTACTAACTCCTGTCCGTGTTCTCTGCCCGTAATGTTGAAGCCACAGCTGCCACAGGTCACTACCAGCCTCCGCCTTGTGGCATTGGAATGAGTGGTGAGAGAGAGGCTGGACTGGGCCGGGCAACCCCTTACTCCGAAATAAAAAGAGGGTTGAGTACAAGTTCAATAATAAGTCAGGTCTAGTGTTTTCTCAAGTCTGACTGAAGAAACACAAAGTGGTCTCCTGACCCCTACTACTTCCAGTGTGCTTTTTGTATCCCGAGGATATTGGGTGTGCCAAACACACGGATTTATTTCCTATTTCTAATTTTAAGTATCCTGACCATTCCTATCCATTCTCCTGTCTGATCATCCTTTACCTGGCCTCCTACTTGGATGTGCTCAACCAACCTCTGGTTGTGTTTTGTGCTGATTAACTTCGAGTAGTCTCCCAGGCTTCCTAGAGTTGTTTCTCTTTTTTTTTTTTCAGGTGGAGTCTTGCTCTGTCGCCCAGGCTGGAGTGCAATGGCGCGATCTTGGCTCACTGCAACCTCAGCCTCCCAGGTTCAAACAATTCTCATGCCTCAGCCTCCCAAGTAGCTGGGATTACAGGCGTGCACCACCATGACCGGCTAATTTTTGTATTTTTAGTAGAGACAAGATTTCACCATGTTGGCCAGCTTGGTCTCGAACTCCTGACCTCAAGTGATCCACCCGCCTCGGCCTCCCAAAGTGCTGGGATTACAATAGGCGTGAGCCACCTTGCCTGGCCTAGAGTTGTTTCTCATGCAAACCTAATGGGTTCTTTGTTTAACATTTGCAGTGGCTCCCTATTGCTCTTAGGATAAAATCCAGACTCCTTAGCATAGCTCTAAGGCCCTTCCTATTCCTAGGCCCCATTAATCGTTATCATCTCTAACCACCACTACCACCACTGCCATCTAGTTTAGTTATAGGTATAAATCTGTATGGATTCAAAGTCCTCTTTAGCCTATTTCTGTCTCTCTCTCTTTTTTTTCCATGTCATAAGTTTATTTACAAACATCTAGTATGTCATATAAGTTCAAGTCTTTGATCCATTTATTTATTTATTTTTAATAGAGACAGGGTCTCTGTGTTGCCCAGGCTGGTTTCGAACTCCTGGGCTCAAGCGATCCTCACGCCTCAGGTTCCCAAAGTGCTGGGATTACAGGCGAGAGCCACTGTGCCCAGGCTTATTTTTCTTTCTTTTTTTTTTTCTTTTTTTTTTCTGTGATGGAGTTTCACTCCTGTTGCCCAGGCTGGAGTGCAATGGCGCGATCTTGGCTCACTGCAACCTCTGCCCCCCAGGTTCAAGCGATTCTCTTGCTTCAGCCTCCTTACTAGCTGGGATTACAGGCATGTACCACCACATCCGGCTAATTTTGTATTTTTAGTAGAGATGGGGTTTCTCCATGTTGGTCAGGCTGGTCTCTAACTCCTGACCTCAGGTGATCCGCCCGCCTTGGCCTCCCAAAGTGCTGGGATTACAGGCAGGAGCCACCATACCCGGCCCGGCTTATTCACTTTTTAAACAGATTTCATCTATTAAAACACCTCCAGTCTGGGCGTGGTGGCACACGCCTGTAGTCCCAGTTACTTGGGAGGCTGAGGCAGGAGAGTCGCTTGAACCCAGCAGGCGGAGGTTGCAGTGAGCCAAAATCGCACCACTGCACGCCAGTCTGGGCAAGAAGAGCGAAACTCCGTCTCAAAAAACAAAGAAACAAAAAGCCTGCCGGGCACGGTGGCTCACGCCGGTAATCCCAGCACTTTGGGAGGTCGAGGCAGGCGGATCATGAGGTCAGGAGATCGAGACCATCCTGGCTAACACGGCGAAACCCCGTCTCTACTAAAAATATGAAAAAATTAGCCGAGTGTGGTGGCAGGCGCCCGTAGTCCCAGCTACTTGGGAGGCTGAGGCAGGAGAATGGCGTGAACCCGGGAAGTGGAGCTTGCAGTGAGCCAGGATGGCGCCACTGCACTCCAGCCTGGGCGACAGAGCGAGACTCCATCTCAAAAAACAAAAAACCTGCTCTTCCTATCTGTTAAGTGGATGAACTAAAACATCCTTGTTTCTTAAGCAGTTGGTGTCTTGCTATTAAAAAAGGTGCTGTGAATCCAGATCCAAAGTACAAAGTCATCCTAGTTAGTAACCGCCATTTGTTTTCCACTGAAAGTGGCAAATGCTTTCCTGGGCAGCTTAGCCAGTTTCTGCAGCTTAACAGCTGATGCCTAGAAGTTCTTCCCCGACCTTCTTAGATTGATTTGTCATTGGTTCTCAGCAGGGGACACTTTTACTTCCCAGGGGACATTTGGCAATGCCTGGAGACGGGGAGTTCTCTACTGGCATCTAGTGGGTGGAGACCTCCTGAGTTTCTGGTGAATGTCTGGAGTAGGGCTTGAACATCTGTGTTTTCATCAGTCTAATGATGCTGTTGGTCCAGGGAGCGCAGTCTTGAGAACTGCTCCTTAAGTAGATACCCAAGGCTGCAAGATAGAGGGAAAAGAATGTGGGGAGTTGTTAAGCATTAAATGTGACAGAAAAATATGAAAATATGAAAATACCTAGCAAATGGTAAGTGCTCATGTGGCATAAGAGGGGGGAGCTGAATCCCTTTTTAATCATCTCCCAGTCAGGAGTATTATTCCTTTAGTGGTTTACTGAGACCACTCCAGTAGTATAAGCGAGGAGAATCAGCCTCATCCAATACTCTGACATAGTTTAATATTAATTGAATACTGTGGCTTCCTTAGCCATTATTGAAGTGCATTAGGGAACAGCCCTAAAGCTGTAGCCTGTGTATTAGTCTGTTCTCATGCAGCTAATAAAGACATACCTAAGACTGGGTAAATTTTAAAGGAAAGAGGTTTATTTAACTCACAGTTCAGCACGGCTGGGGAGGCCTCAGCGATCGTGGCGGAAGGGGAAGCAAACACATCCTTCTTAACATGGCAGCAGGAAGAATGAGCAAAAGGGTGAGCCCCTCATAAAACTATCAGATCTCATGAGAACTTACTATCGCGAGACCAGCATGGAGGTAACCGCTCCTGTGATTCAGTTACCTCCCATCAGGTCCCTCCCATGACACGTGGGGATTATGGGAACTAAAATTCTAGTTGAGATCTGGGTGGGGACACAGCCAAACCTTATCAGTTTGTTTGTTCCTTCACAGATATAGCCTGGTGGGTCATGTACTCACAGTTTTCTTTTGTTGAGAACATTCCCAGAGTGATTTTCTTTGTTTTTTCCTTTTTAGGAACAAAACATAACCCTTTCATTTGTACTGCCTCCTTCCACACGAGTGCCCCTTTGGCCAAAGAAGATTATTATCAGATATTAGGAGTGCCTCGAAATGCCAGCCAGAAAGAGATCAAGAAAGCCTATTATCAGGTCTGTATGGAAGTCAGGTTTTGGTGACCAAATTGTAGTAGGAATGTTGTTGATCCCATGTGATCCTGATCAGTACAGCGTATGTGCCCATATGAATAGGTCTCATGAGCTGATAGTATAGAAGGGTGTGATAAAGCTGGACTTTGCTAGACTGTTTTTCGATGCACAATGCTGTAGAGGTTGGTGCTTCAGAAAAAAGAGGTGAGTCCAAACCAGAGATTTTAAGAAGTTTTTTTTTCTAGAGCTGTTTTCATAATTAAATTTAATCTGTATTTTCTGAATCAGTAGATATGCTAGTCTAAGTTTTAGGTAGTTATTTTTTGCATCCAGATAAAAGTTTAGAGGTTTAGAATTACTTCCTTTCCTTTCTTTTTTTTTTTTTTTTTTTTTTTTTTTTGAGATGGAGTCTCACTCCATTGCTGAGGCTGGAGTGCAGTGGCGCAATCTTGGCTCACTGCAACCTCTGCCTCCTGGGTTCAAGCAGTTCTCCTGTGTCCGCCTCCCAAGTAGCTGGGACTATAGGCACCTGCCACCACACCCGGCTAATTTTTTTTGTATTTTTAGTAGAGACGCGGTTTCACTTTGTTGGTCAGGCTGGTCTTAAACTCCTGACCTCAGGTGATCCACCTGCCTCAGCCTCCCAAAGTGCTGGGATTACAGGCGTGAGCCACCGCGCCTGGCCCTTTCTTAACCTGGAAAATGTGAAATTCCCATTGTATCCCAGGGTCTATTAGGGTAGTTAGGGTAGCTGAGTAAAGTTGTATACGAGATGTCTACACCACTGGTTCCTAGACCCTTGGTTTGCTCTGACCAACAAAATAAAATCAATATTGGAGGCACCATTGTAGGATTGACAGCTTTTTATAAGTGCACAGTTCACTGGAGTTGTGCACCTGTCACCACAGTCAACTTTAGGACATTTTCATTACCTCGAAAAGAAACTCTGTATTCATTAGCACTCCCCTTCCATTGTCCTCTCTCCCCGGTCCCTAGCAGCTGCTAATCTGCGTCCTGCCTCTTTGGATTTGCCTATTCTCAATATTCATATACAGGGAATCATACAATATGTATCCTTTTGTGTGTCTTGGCTTCTTTCATTCACATAATGTTTTCAGGGTTCATCTGTGTTATAGTTTGTGTCAATACTTCATCCCTTTTTATGGTCAAATAATCTGTTGCATGGATTAATCACATTTTGTTTATTCATCGTTTGATGGACATTTGGATATTTTCCACTTTTTGCTATCATGAACAGTGCTGCTATATAGACATTCATATGTAAGTTTTTGTGTAGACATGTTTTCAGTTCTCTTGGATATTTAGGAGTATAGTTGCTGAGTCATATGGTAACTGGATGTTTAACCTTTTGAGAAGCTGCCAGCCTTTTTCAAAGCAGCTGCACCATTTTACATTCCCACCAGCAGCATATGAGGGCCATGATTTCTCCACATCCCAGTGAACACTTAACTATTATCGTCTGTCTTTTTAATTACGACCCTAGTGAATAAGAAATGCTATCTCGTTAGAGTTTCGATTTGCTTTTTCCCTGATGACTAATGATGGTGAGCATCTTTCTTGTGCATGTTGGCTATTAGTATGTCTTTGGAGAAACGTGTGTTTGGATCCATTGCCCACTTTTAACTGGGTTGTCTTTTTTTTTTAATTGGGTTGTAATGGAATGAACAGAGGCATGGGGACAGGAAGCAGAGATCCTGGCCTGTGAAGAGCGAATGGCCTGTCTCTTCCTGAGCTCAAGAGTCAGGTGCCTGATCCAAGAGTGGGAAAAGATTGAAAAGATGGAGGCTGGGTTGGACTCACATGACAGTTGATTTGAGGCCCTTAGTAAGTCCCAGAGACATAATTTAAGAGAAAGACTTAATTTAGAGAACCATTCAGATTTTTAGGCACGGAAGTAAAAAGATCAGGTAAAGCTGTAGCAATTACTGTATTTTATTTACCTACAAAAATAATTGAAACAGCAGAGACGTCTATTTATTCAGTCATTTTCTTCCCTTTTTAAAAATTTTTTCTTTTTTCAGACAGAGTCTCGCCGTGTGGCTCAGGCTGGAGTGCAGTGGTGCAGTCTTGGCTCACTGCAACCTCTGTCTCCTGGGCTCAAGCAATTCTCCTGCCTCAGCCTCCCGAGTACCTGTGTTTATAGGCGCGTGTGACCATACCTGGCTAATTTTTGTATTTTTAGTAGAGATGGGGTTTCGCCATGTTGGCCAGGCTGTTCTCAAACTCCTGACCTCTGGTGATCCACCCAGCTCAGCATCTCAAAGTGCTGGGATAACAGGCATGAGCCACTGCGCCCGGCCCCCTTTTTAAAAATTTGTTTTTCTTTTTTGTTCATTTACCTATTCTAAGCCATGCTGGGTGCTAAGGGCAAAGATACATCAGAATCAGTTCCTGCCCTCAAGTTAAGAGATGGATACATTAAAACAGATCATTATTATTATTATTTTGTGGGGCGGACAGAATCTCACTCCGTCACCTAGGCTGGAGTGCAGTGCCTCGATCTCTGCTCACTGCAACCTCCACCTCCCAGGTTCAAGTGATTCTCGTGCTTCAGCCTCCTGAGTAGCTGGGACCACAGGCATGTGCCACCACGCCTGACTAATTTTTTCTATTTTTGGTGGAGAGGGGTTTCGCTGTGTTGCCCAGGCTGGTGTTGAACTCCTGAGCTTAAGTGATCTGCCTGCCTTCACTTCCCAAAGTGTTGGGATTACAGGCGTGAGCCACTGCACCCAGCCGAGAGACAACTTTTATAAAGGGAACATAATTATGACTGGTATTTGGGGTTCTGTTGTATCGGGGGTTTTGTTGTTTCTGGTATTTGGGGTTCACATTGTATCTGGAGTAATTTATCATGTTTTTCCCTTAGCTTGCCAAGAAGTATCACCCTGACACAAATAAGGATGATCCCAAAGCCAAGGAGAAGTTCTCCCAGCTGGCAGAAGCCTATGAGGTAATATGACTTCGGTGCATGCGGTCACTGCTGTTCAGCTATGTGTATGAATCAAAGGTTGCATTGCTACCTGGGACAGCCTGGTGTGTCATACAGTCCAGTGTGAAGGCCATGTCCCTGCGCCAAGTAATCTTGTTAAGAAAAATAAAAAAAAAGAGATTCCAGGCCAAGCATGGTGGCTCACTCCTGTAGTCCTAGCACTTTGGGAAGCTGAGGCAGGAGGATCACTTGACCTCAGGAGTTGGCTTGACCCTAGGAGTTTGAGACCAGCTTGGGCAATGTAGTAAGACCACGTCTCTACAAAAAAAAAAAAAAAAATCACCAGGCGTGGTGGTGGCGCACCTGTAAACCCAGCTACTTGGGAGGCTGAGTCAGGTTCATCACTTGAGGGGCTCAAAGCTGCAGTGACCCATGATGCCATGATTGTGCCATAGAACTATGGTCTGGGCAACAGAAAAAGACCTTCTCTCAAAAAATAAAAAATTAAAAAAAAAACAAAACAACAACATTCTAAGACTAACTTGGAATCTCAATGAAGAACAGGATCCAGGCCAGGCGTGGTGGCTCATGCCTGTAATCCCAACACTTTGGGAGGCCGAGGCAGGTGGATCACCAGGTCAGGAGATCGAGACCATCCCGGCTAACACGGTGAAACCCCGTCTCTACTAAAAATAAAAAAAAATTAGCCGGGCATGGCGGCATGCGCCTGTAGTCCCAGGTGCTGGGGAGGCTGAGGCAGGAGAATGGCGTGAACCCGGGAGGCGGAGCTTGCAGTGAGCTGAGATTGCGCCACTGCACTCCAGCCTGGGCGACAGAGCAAGACCCCGTCTCAAAAAAAAAAAAAAGAACAGGATCCAATAATCTGTACTAATAAAGTTCCCCAGGTAATTTACACTTGTAGCTGGATTTGGGAATTCACAGTTGGATTAATTAATTCAGCCCTTATTCAATGACATCCCCTTCCTCCACCTCAGGGCATCACTGCTTTTTGGGGATAGAGGTTATTGTAAAAGTAGAAGCCCATTATTGTCCTATAAGAATGTCAATGTAATCAGAGGACAAAGCATACATCTCTGAAAACAGCTATTGACCCCACTTCCATAGTTTTCTGAAAGTAGACCTTTTTCCCAGATTTTTTGACAATCTTTTCTTTTTTTTTTTTTTTTTTTGCTTAAGAGACAGGGTCCCTCTATGTTGCCCAGGCTGGTCTTGAACTCCTGAGCTGAAGAGATCCTCCTGCCTCAGCCTCTCAAATTGCTAGGATTATAGGTGCAAGGCACCAGACCTGCCCGACTTTGGCCATCCTAAAGGGGTTCAGTATATATAGGAGCTCATATATCTATAAGAGTAGACAGCCACGTAGAAGAACAGGCTCAACTCAGTAAATCTTTTTTGAGTAAATATCTGTCAACTAGATCTAATGAAAAGTTTATTTACTAGTGTAATTTTAAAATAATATGTTCTTATTAGGTAACTCAAACTAATTGATAACATAACTAAACAGTCTTGGAACCTGCTTCTATGGAAGATAAGATTAATTTTTTTTTTTTTTTCAAGAGTTGAGGTCTCAGCCAGGTGCAGTGGCTTACGTCTATAATCCCTATAATCCCAGCACTTTGGGAGGCCAAGACAGGCAGATCAGGAGGTCAGGAGTTTGAGACCAGCCTGGCCAAGAGACCAGCCTGAGCAATATGGTGAAACCCCATCTCTACTAAAAATACAAAAATTAGCCAGGTGTGGTGGTGGGTGCCTGTAATCCCAGCTATTCAGGAGGCTGAGGCAGGAGAATTGCTTGAACCCGGGAGGCATCAGTGAGCCGAAGATTGCGCCATTGTACTCCAGCCTGGGCAACAGAGCGAGACTCCCAATCAAAAAAAAAAAAAAAAGAGTTGAGGTCTCACTCTGTTACCTAGGCTGGAGTGTAGTGGCGAGATCACAGCTCACTGCAGTCTCAAACTCTTGGGCTCAAGCAGTTTTCCTGCCTCAACCTCAACTTCCTGAGTAGCTGGGACTACAGGTTCCCCACTGCACCCAGAAGATTCAATTTTTAATGGGGCGGGGGGGTGTTATTCTTGTGAATGTGTTTTTCCACATGGTTAGTTGATCTGATGTTTCTGCCAGGGGCATGAGTTTTGGAGAGTCCTAATCCACCGTGTTGCTGACTTCTGTCTTCAAGGGGGATGTTATTAAACGGACCGAGCCTCAGAACCTAAGAGCAGCAATTCCTTGGGAAGGGCTGGAACCAGGAGATAAAACCCACCAGGAAGTCATGAACTCCCACCTGACTCCTCCTCTGCCAGCCTTCCTCCTTTGCATCTTAACTGGGTGCCCTAAAAGTTACCCTAGGCACCAAGCTGTCCTCCACCTGCTTTCTTAGTCCCCCTCCATTCTAGGTGGAAGTGTCTTTTCCTTTGGAGGAAGCGTACTCTTTTCTGTTTGGCCTTAAGGATAGTGCCTATTTTTTTGAGATAGTGTCTCACTTTGTTGCCCAGGCTGGAGTGCAATGGTGCAATCACGGTTCACTGCAGCCTCAACCTCAACCTCCGTGCTCAAGCAATCCTCCCACCTCAGCCTCCCAAGTAGCTGGAACTATAGGCGTGCACCACCATTCTTGGTTAATTTTTTTGTATTTTTCTTGTGATGGGGTTTCACCATGTTGCCCAGGCTGGTCTTGAACTCATGAACTCAAGCAGTCCACCTGCCTTGGCCTCCCAAAGTCCTGGGATTACAGGTGTGAGCCACCATACTCAGCCTAGGGCAGTGTCTTTTTAATTAAAGAAAAAAAAAGTAAGACAAACACATAAAAAAAAGATACAAAGTGAGGGCCAGGCACGGTGGCTCACGCTTGTAATCCCAGCACTTTGGGAGGCTGAGGCAGACGGATCACGAGGTCAAGAGATCGAGACCATCCTGGCAAACGTGGTGAAACCCTGTCTCTACTAAAAATACAAAAAAATTAGCTGGGCGTGGTGGTGCATGTCTTTAGTCCCAACTACTCGGGAGGCTGAGGCAGGAGAATCACTTGAACCCGAGAGGCAGAGGTTGCAGTGAGCCGAGATCGCGCCACTGCACTCCAGCCTGGCGACAGAGCAAGACTCCCGTCTCAAAAAAAAAAAAAAAGATACAAAGTGAATACTACATTTTTCCTTGTCCCTCCCTAATCCCCCTTTTTGAGGTAGTTAGTCCTTATTAACAGTTTTGTGGGCCAGGCCCAGTGGCTCATGCCTGTAATCCCAGTATTTTGGGAGGTCGAAGTGGGAGGATCGCTTGAGGCCAGGAGTTTGAAAGCAGCCTGGGCAACATAGCAAGACCCTGTCTCTACAAAAACTTAAAACAATTTGCCAGGACTGGTGGTGTGCACCTGTAGACCCAGCTACTGTGGAGGCTGAGGCAGGAGGATTGCTTCAACCTGGGAGGTTGAGGCTGCAGTGAGCTAGGATTGCACCACTGCTATTGTCGTTGCTGTTACTTCTGTTACTCCGGTTGTTCTGGCTTGCAGAAAACCTTTCGATGAAGGTAAGGGTAGGAAGCATAAATTCTCTACGAGGTAATGTCCCCTGAGGAGAGAGGTGAAGTGTGAATCTGTGAAGAATCCAGGGTGCCTGTGAGGTCAAGCGAGGATCAACACAAACATTTTCCCAGCATGCGCGACGGCGGGAGAGTTCGTGAGACTTTTGGAAGCACTTCACGCCCTACACTTAGCATTCAGTTTGGTCATCTCATCCCTCTTCTAGGTGCTAGTCACAGGCCCACCCCAACCTCATAGGATGTGTTTGCACACAGGGCCACTTAATAAATGTTATGGCTGCCTTATTTGCTGTGAACTCTTGTCTGTATTCCTGGGCCTTGGTAGACCTGGGATGCCCAGTGGCTCTGCCTTTCACTGTAGGTTTTGAGTGATGAGGTGAAGAGGAAGCAGTACGATGCCTACGGCTCTGCAGGCTTCGATCCTGGGGCCAGCGGCTCCCAGCATAGCTACTGGAAGGGAGGCCCCACTGTGGACCCCGAGGAGCTGTTCAGGAAGATCTTTGGCGAGTTCTCATCCTCTTCATTTGGAGATTTCCAGACCGTGTTTGATCAGCCTCAGGAAGTAAGTTCCTCACTTGGAAGAATTATTCAAATTTTAGACTAAGTATGGGTCAAACAAATTTTTTTATCAGTTTCTGTTTCTCAGAAAGGCAAGGCAGCTTAAATGGAGTGATCTGGAGGCAGCCATTTTAGTAGAAAATAATTTCAGTATTTGAAAAATCGCATAGGTAGTAATGAGTATGTCCATTCTGATGGTATTCTTAACAGTTGCATAATGAGGTAGCACCTAAGGCTTTCAGAGCCCATGAGGGTGTGAGTGTTGTCTCTCATCTGCTACAGTATTCCAGGAGAGTTCTGTCCGGTGGGAAGGCACTGCTGATCCTCTCTCATTTATGTCCTTATAAGACACTGTCAGAGTGGAAGAGAGAGGGGATATATTTATGATCTAAATTATGATTGTGGATCATTCAGGCTGTTTTTAAGTGCCATGTACGAGTATTTATCTGTGAACATTTTCAGTCTGTTGAAAGTACGTTTTCATTTAAGTCATACATTATCTCTTAAAAATCCCAAAGAGTAGGGCAGAATTCGTTCAGTGAGTCCTACCTATGCTTACTTGGCAGAGTGCAAGTAAGTACAGTGGTGAAAGAGTGACTGAAAATGTGGGCCAGTACCCTCCTTTCCCTTTAGAGCCGAGCGTCAGTTTTGGTCGTTGCAAACAAAAGTTGACAGGCTGTCCCTTGGTTTCTTTAGTACTTCATGGAGTTGACATTCAATCAAGCTGCAAAGGGGGTCAACAAGGAGTTCACCGTGAACATCATGGACACGTGTGAGCGCTGCAACGGCAAGGGGAACGAGCCCGGCACCAAGGTGCAGCATTGCCACTACTGTGGCGGCTCCGGCATGGTAAGGCTCTGCCCGAGACTCCACCTCCCACGGCTTGCACCACTGACTGAGAAGAGCTGGTTGTGGCACTGCTCCCAGAGAACGTATGCTGGGAATTGGGGGAGTTGGTGAACTCAGCCTGGCTGTCTTTCCCCCGTGACCCTGAGGAGACGAGCCTGTGCTCCTCTTTCCCTGATACCACAGGCTCAGCAACCAGAGCACAGCAGCTCCGGGGGCGGGGCGGGGGATTGCATCCAGTTGTCACTTTCTTCTTTATTTTTCTAACAATTGCTTTGGTAATTCAAGGGGAAATAATCTTTTTTAAATGTACTGTTCAGCTCCCAGGAGTCTTCAGGTACTTCTGTAGACAGGCGGTATCATATTTTTCAGTGTCGTGTGGTCAAGTTGATGATCTGGAGTGCAGAAGTTTGTGTGTTCTAGAAAATCAGATGAACAGATTGAGGCCCTGCACCTGGGTTCCTAGGCAGTGTGTTTGAGTGCACATGCACATAAAAAACAAGCCTTAAAGAGACATTTTTCTTACGCACATTGTGGTCCCAGAACCACCCATCAGTTTACCTGCGTACTTAGGTTACCATTTTTCTTGTTTTTATCAGGAAACCATCAACACAGGCCCTTTTGTGATGCGTTCCACGTGTAGGAGATGTGGTGGCCGCGGCTCCATCATCATATCGCCCTGTGTGGTCTGCAGGGGAGCAGGACAAGCCAAGCAGAAAAAGCGAGTGATGATCCCTGTGCCTGCAGGTGGGTGCTTGGGCCCGCCATGTCCAGGAGCTTGGAGAGGGCAGACAGGGTTGAGGCTACCACACCGTGTGGAGAGGGTGGACAGGGCCGAGGCCACTGCACTGAGTGTGAGTGGGCTCTTGGTAGAAGTTATGGTTGAGGCCCTGGAGCCCCAGGCTGGAGGAGGAACTGGAGTCTCCTTGAATCTTTCTGTTTCTGCCAGTTATCCTTAAAATTTACACTTTGCATGTCACAATGGGGAGAAGAGACCTGACGTGCCTACTCTGCTTCTTCCTGGTGAGGGAGCAGCTTCCAACCCCCGGGCTCCTCTCCTCTCTCCCCTGTCTTAGTCACCGAAGCCATCATTGTCCCTGCTGCCACCCTATCTACATCAGCCCCACGGATCCCACCCCTCACTCCATGTCTACTGTTCCCTTGCCCAAAACTCACTTTCTGCTTTCTTTTTTCGGTTAACTTTATTCATCTTGGAGATCCCAGCTTGAGTATCCCTTCCCTAGCTAGCCTCACACCCTCCTCCCTGTTCTTTTTTTTTTCTTTTTTGAGACGGAGTCTCGCTCTGTCACCCAGGCTGGAGCGCAGTGGCCCGATCTCGGCCCACTGCAAGCTCTGCCTCCCAGGCTCATGCCATTCTCCTGCCTCAGCCTCCCAAGGAGCTGGGACTACAGGCACCTGCCACCACACCCAGCTAATTTTTTGTATTTTTAGTAGAGACGGGGTTTCATCGTGTTAGCCAGGATGGTCTCGATCTCCTGACCTCGTGATCCACCCGCCTCGGCTTCCCAAAGTGCTGAGATTATAGTCATGAGCCACCGCGCGTGGCCTGCTTTACTGTTGTTTAGATGTCTGTTTCTCTAGAGTTGTGAGCATTTCCATTGAAGAGCATGTCTCTGTTTGTAGTTATGCATTAGTGCTATCGTTTGGTTAACACCCATCACCCCAGTGAGACCATGAACTCCCTGAGGTACTGCCTAGACCAAGCCTGAGGCAGGTGCTCAGTCATCAGGTGTCTGTGTTGCATCTCTGGAAGGTTACCCATGTGCCTCTTAGATAATGACATTGTTCCTCGTTAATAAGAAACAGGAGTGGGGAAGAAGCTGTGGGTTACAAGTGGATCTTGGGTGGAAAGTGCTGTGGGAGGTCTCACAATAACTGCTCCCTTTCTTTTTTTTCTTTTTCTTTTCTTTTTTTTTTTTTTTTTAAGACGGAGTCTCGCTCTGTTGCCAGGCTGGCGTGTAGTGGAGTGATCTCGGCTCACTGCAACCTCCGCCTCCTGGGTTCAAGCGATTCTCTTTCCTCAGCCTCCTGAGTAGCTGGGACTACAGGCGTGTGCCACCACGCCCAGTTAATTTTTAGTAGAGACCAGGTTTCACCATGTTGGCCAGGATGGTCTCGATCTCTTGACGTCATGATCTGCCCGCCTCGGCCTCCCAAAGTGCTGGGATTACAGGCGTGAGCCACCGCGTCCTGCCTAACTTCTCCCTTTCTAATGTCCCTTGTAGGAGTCGAGGATGGCCAGACCGTGAGGATGCCTGTGGGAAAAAGGGAAATTTTCATTACGTTCAGGGTAGGTGCCCTGCCCCGCACAGCTTCTGTTGGGCCTTTCCTCTCTTCGGGTGGGTGTGGCTGAGGCTGCTCCCATGTAATCAAAGCTTCACAGGAACATGTCTCGCCATTCATGTTTCTGAGGGGCACAGTGGCCACCTAGATGTGGTTTTTAGCTGTTTGTTACCTTCAAGATTCTGTGCCTTGTGTGGAGAGAAGACAACTTCTTCAACATGCTAACAAGTTAGAAATACAGGTCACATAAAAATACAGGAAACATCTTGTGTTTTTATGATAAGATTGTTGATGAGGCAGTGAGTGTGAAAGTTACAATTTTACATACTGTATACAGGGGCAAACCTTGGTTTTCTGAGATGGTGGAAACATTAATGAAGACAATGCCTTCTACTGGCAATTGCCCTCCTATGTGTACACCTGAGAAAAACCCACACAAGCCTAGCAGGCGATAGGTACAAAGGGGTGCACAAGAGTCCTGTCCATGGTAGCAAGACACTGCCTTCCTCCAACAAGAGAATGGCTCAGTGAGCCGTGGTGGTCAGAGGCTGCTGCAGGGCAGTCGGAAGGAAAGAATGAGAGCTGAACTCAAGGGATGCTCCAGGCGTTGCAGGTACAGACAGCAGGGATGGAAGGCAGCTTGCCAGTGGCTGTAGGGCCTCAGAGACCATCTGTGTAAAGTTTTAAAACCTGTGAGATGGCATTATGTATTATTTAGGGACACGGAAATACATAGTAAGTAGAAGCTTGTAGGAATGATAAATGTTAAAGTCAGGGTTGTGGTTAGCTGAGGAGGGCAAGACTCACCGGTGTTTATGATGTTTTATTTTATTTTACTTTATTTTTTGAGGTGGGGTATTGCTTTGTTGCCTAGGATGAAATGCAGTGGGGCAGTCTTGGCTCACTGTAGCCTCAGACTCCCTGGGCTCAGGTGATCCTCCCACCTCAGCCTCCTGAGTAGCTGGGACTACAGGCACACGCCACCAGGCCCGGCTGACTTTTGTATCTTTAGTAAAGATGAGGTTTCACCATGTTGCCCAGGGTGGTCTCAAACCCCAGGGCTCAAATGATCCACCCACCTTGGCCTCCCAAAGTGCTGGGATTACAGGTATGAGCCACTGCGCCCGGCCTGTGATATTTTGTTACCTCCACTGGGTTGTGGGTATGACATGCTTGTTATATTATTTACTCTTCCCTTTTTTTTCTTTTTTTTTTCTGGAAAGAGAGTCTTGCTCTGTTGCCCAGTCTGGAGTGCAGTGGCATGATCTCAGCTCACTGCAACCTCCACCTCCCAGGTTCAAGCGATTCTCTTGCCTCAGCCTCCTGAGTAGCTGGGACTACAGGCATGCGCCACTACACCCAGGTAATTTTTGTATTTTTAGTAGAGATGGGGTTTCACCATGTTGGCAGGCTGGTCTCGAATTCCTGACCTCAGGTGATCCACCCACCTTAGCCTTCCAAAGTGCTGGGATTACAAGCGTGAGCCACCACGGCTGGCCTATACTTTCTAATAAAGTAAGATTTTTTTTTTTTTTTTTTTGAGGTGGAGTCTCGCTCTGTTGCTCAGGCTGGAGTGCAGTGGTGTGATCTCTGTTCAGTGCAAACTTCATCTCCCAGGTTCAAGTGGATCTTCTGCCTCAGCCTCCTGAGTAGCTGGGATTACAGGGGCCCGCCACCACACCTGGTTAATTTTTGTATTTTTAGTAGAGACAAGGTTTCACCATGTTGGTCAGTCTGGTCTCAAACTCCTGACCTCAGGTGATCCACTCACCTTGGCCTCCCAAAGTGCTGGGATTACAGGTGTGTGCCACTGTGCCTGGCTAAAGTAAGATTAAAAAAAAAAAATCAAAAGCCAGTTTTACATTTTTGTTTCCCTTCACGATTGAATGGCTTGATCTGAGACTGAGGAAATCCAGGCACGCTTCCATTTCGGCATTTCAAGTGTGTAGAACATTGCAGTGTTGAAATATGTAGAACATGTCATTCCTGGGCCTGGGATGGTGTCTCCTTGTTGGAAGGACAGTTCTTTCCCTCAACACTGCACTTTATGTATGGAAGGGGTGTGTAGTTTGTCAGGTCTGAGCTTGGGCCTGGCCAGGCATGCAGCTGGTGTTTAGTCTGCAGTGGACTTATCTTCACATGCATCTGTCATGTTTGGCCTTAGGTGCAGAAAAGCCCTGTGTTCCGGAGGGACGGCGCAGACATCCACTCCGACCTCTTTATTTCTATAGCTCAGGCTCTTCTTGGGGGTACAGCCAGAGCCCAGGGCCTGTACGAGACGATCAACGTGACGGTAAGAGGGTGTGAGAACACCTTTGTCACCCCTGTACTTTATTGCTCTTTTTCTGAAATGGAAAAGAACTGACCAGTGGCCTGGAACCCATGAGTGACCAGCATGTGGGGGGGCACTCACAGGGGAGGACATGAGGAATTTTAGGCTGCTCCTTGAGTGTGGACCACAAGCCACAGGCCTTGAGTCTATAATCGCATGGGAAGCAGTTCCTGGCTGGCATCACTCCCACACTGGTTAGCGGGGCCTGGGAACTGGGCGCATTCAGGACACAGAAGGGTTCACCCTGGGTTGTGCTCTCTGCACTTGCTTCTGTCCAGTGTCTGGCTCCAAGAGCAGAAGACTCGGGCGGTGCATATCCCTTTTGCCACAGTGATGGCTGCCTGTGTGCTGCCAGCACCTGTCCCCCACCTCTCTCTTGACCTGCCCCTCCAGCTCTTCCCACCTCCAGGCCACATCATTCTCTGTATTCGCCTCAGAACCTTCTCCAGCTTCTTTGTGGGGAACCTTGGGGTAACCTCCATGAAGGAGGTGGGCATTTTGGGCCAAGGCTTTCTCCTCCATCTGGGGGCTATTCCCTGGCTTCTCCAGGGTCCTGTGGTTCCAAGGGCCAGGGAGCGACCTCAGCCACGCACCCTGTATTGGCTTTTCCTGCTTTGCTCCCTCACTCCTGCTTCCTGGGCTCACTTGCCCAAACTCTTGCCCCCTCATCCTAGTCACAGGCTCTGCTCTGGGCAGACCCAACTTAGCTCATTTCCATGTGCTTGTGGGCGGGCTTGGCCCAGAAACCCAAGTGGTGGTTCTTTTTTTTTTTTTGAGATGGAGTCTCGCTTTGTCGTCAGGTGCACGCCACCACACCTGGCTAATTTTTTGTATTTTAGTAGAGACAGGGTTTCACCGTATTTCCCAGGCTGGTCTTCAACTCCTGATCTCAGGCAGTTCACCCGCCTCGGCCTCCCAAAGTGCTGGGATTAAAAGGCGTGAGCCACTGCGCCCAGCCCAGTGGCAGTTCTTTTTTTTTTTTTTTTTTTTTTTTGAGACAGAGTCTTGCTCTGTCGCCAGGCTGGAGTGCAGTAGCGCGATCTTGGCTCGTGGCAATCTCCGCCTCCCAGGTTCAAGCGATTCCCACCTCAGCCTCCTGAGTACCTGGGCCTACAAGCACGCGCCACCATGCCTGGCTAATTTTTTGTATTTTAGTAGCGATGGGGTTTCACCATGTTGGCCAGGAAGGTCTCAATCACCTGACCTCGTGATCTGCCTGCCTCAGCCCCCCAAAGTGCTGGGATTACAGGCATGAGCCACTGCGCCCGGCCTTTTTTTTTACCCACCCCCTCCACCACCGCTCTGCCGAGACAGAGTCTTGCTCTGTCAGCCAGAGCTGGAGTGCAATGGCACAATCTTGGCTCACTGCAACCTCCGCCTCCCGGGTTCAAGCAATTCTCCTACCTCAGCCTCCTGAGTAGCTGAGATTACAGGTGCACGTTACCATGCCCTGCTGATTTTTGTATTTTTAGTAGAGACGGGGTTTCATCATGTTGGCCAGGCAGGTCTTGAACTCCTGACCTCGTGATCAGCCTGCCTCGACCTCCCAAAGTGATGGGAGCGTGAGCCAGTGGTAGTTCTTTTCAAGGAATTCCTATCAAGATTGTCTTCATGTAGTGAAAACTTTTTATTTGAGCAACTGGGGACCAGGGGAAACCACAGATTTTCTTTCTTTATAGATCCCCCCTGGGACTCAGACAGACCAGAAGATTCGGATGGGTGGGAAAGGCATCCCCCGGATTAACAGCTACGGCTACGGAGACCACTACATCCACATCAAGATACGAGTTCCAAAGTAAGTGCCCCCTAGGCTGTGGCCAAGCCCGCCTGGTCCTGCGGTGGCACTGCCCTTGGAGCTCTGTGGCTTGGGCAGGTTACTGCTCCCTGTAAGTCAGGTGGTTCCTGCCCGAGTTATCTGTCTGTAAAGTGGACATAGTAGAATGGTCAACTTCTTTTTTTTTGAGATGGAGTCTCGCTGTGTCCCCCAGGCTGGAGTGCAGTGGCGCCATCTCGGCTCACTGCAACCTCCGCTTCCCAGGTTCAAGCGATTCTCCTGCCTCAGCCTCCCGAGTAGCTGGGATTACAGGTGCCTGCCACCATGCCCGGCTAATTTTTTGTATTTTTAGTAGAGATGGGGTTTCACCGTGTTAGCCAGAGTGGCCTCAATCTCCTGACCTAGTGATCCACCCACCTTGGCCTCCCAAAGTGTTGGGATTACAGGCGTGAGCCACCATGCCCGGCCAGAATGGTCGACTTCTTGGAGTTGTTGGGAGAATTAAATGAACAACACATAGGAATTGCTTTGCTGCTGCTGCTATTGTTGATTTTCTTCTTTTTTTTTTGAGAAGGAATCTGTCACTGTGTTGCCCAGGCTGGAATGTGGTGGTGCCATTTCAGCTCACTGCAACCTCCTCCTCCCCAGTTCAAATGATTCTCCTGCCTCAGCCTCCCGAGTAGCTGGGACTACAGGCGCTTACCACCACGCCCAGCTAATTTTTGTATTTTTAGTAGAGACGGAGTTTCACTGGCCAGGCTAATCTCGAACTCCTGACCTCAGGTGATCTGCCCACCTTGACTTCCCAAAGTGGTGGGATTACAGGTGTGAGCCAGCACGCCTGGCCCGTTGCTTTTCTTGTTGATGTTACTAGCACTGTTAGGAGCTGGAGAGGTGGCCTGGGCAGAGTGCTGTGGGTACCTAGGGCGGGACATGCCTGACTCCCCTCGGGAGCACTCATGCTTTTTGTTAATTAGATAATTTCTTTTTTTTTTTTTGAGATGGTGTCTAGCTCTGTCTCTAGGTGGAGTTCAGTGGTGCAATCTCCACCTCCCAGATTTAAGCAATTCTCCTGCCTCAGCCTCCCAAGTAGCTGGGACTATAGGCATGTGCCGCCACGCCCAGCTAATTTTTGTATTTTCAGTAGAGACGGGGTTTCACCTTGTTGGCCAGGATGGTCTCTATCTCCTGACCTTGTGATCCGCCCACCTTGGCCTCCCAAAATGCTGGGATTACAGGCATGAGCCACTGCGCCTGGCCTAATTAGATAATTTCTTACTTGCTTCACATACACACTGGTAAAATCTGTTTCCCCTCCTGTAAACTGTATTTAGCATAGCCACAGTGACACTTGTTTAAATGACTTAGTGTAGGGTGTTTTAGGAGCTTTTCTGTACAGAAGCTTTGAGGGCATGGTCCTTAGGTTCTCACCGCTGCACTGGCTCAGGGTGTCCGCCCCTGCCAAGGTTGGGTCCCTCTCTTCCCATGTGCTGCGAGGGTGCTGGCTGCCTGTGAGTTCTTTCCAAAGCTTCCCGGCGGAAGCCTTGGCTGCTGACTCTGCTCGGTCCACAGGAGGCTAACGAGCCGGCAGCAGAGCCTGATCCTGAGCTACGCCGAGGACGAGACAGATGTGGAGGGGACGGTGAACGGCGTCACCCTCACCAGCTCTGGTAAGGAGTCTGAAGACTACATGGTGACACGTGGGGGCCTCAGAGCCCCCCAGGGTATGGACAATTCAGGGCAGCATGTTGGGGTTTCCACTTCGGGTTCTTCATGAAGCCTTTAAAATGTGCAGTTGAAAGAGGGGGGCTGTGGGCGGGGACAGCGGGCAGGGAGCCGCAGCCCCCAGTCCAAGCTTCGCCTCCTCTCTCTGTGTGTGTTTCTGTGCTGAGGTGAGAGCACCAGGGCACTTCCTGCAGGCAGCTCTGCGTGTCTCAGACCCAGTGTTCTGAGTTCTATTCTTGGTTCTGCCACTTGCCCTGTGACCTCGGACAAATCCTTCCCTGAGAGCTCCTGGCAAAAGCGTAAGGAGAGAGCATGGATTGGAAGGATTTGTGCACTTCCCACCTGGGACACTCCGCCAGGATTTCAGAGTGTCTTAAAACAACAGCAGCCACAGCAGTGGAGCCGCAGTCAGCAGACTCCGTCCGCCGCTTTAGAGCAGGACTCCCTCCAAGTTATCTAGCCGTGAACAGATGCACCATTTACCCTGAGCTCAGACATCGTGCTAGCGAGTGGCTGTGTTAGGGATCTGTCACCAGAACACCTGCTGTGGGCGCTGAGACAATGGCACCCCAGCTGCAGCCCCTCTTCCCATGGGGTCTGGGGCCTCTTTCCTGGGACTCCTGGCTCAGGGCAGGGCAGGCTGTGCCCAGGGGTCCTTGGTTCAGGCGGCATGTATTTCCTCCTCATTGCATCATTTTGTTTTTGTTTGGATCCTGGGTGGAGTTCTCAGAACTTGAGCAGCCTTAGATTAGTGCATGGTAATTCGTAGCAGGTGTTTGGAGCTGGGGGCCGATTTTCCAATAAAGTGGAGGATTTGGAGCTCCAGGGGCAGGGGCAGGGGCTGGGATGGAAGTCCCTGGAATTTCACTGAGCTCCTGTTGCTCCCAGGGGACTGGAATTCCTCTGTTAAAAAGCAGCTGCCGGCCGGGCGCAGTGGCTCTTGCCTGTAATCCCAGCACTTTGGGAGGCAGGGGCAGGTGGATCACTTGAAGTCAGGAGTTTGAGACCAGCCTGGACAGCATGGCGAAACCCCATCCCTACTAAAAATACAAAAATTAGCTGGGTATGGTGGTGCATGCCTGTAATCTCAGCTACTCAGGACGCTGAGGCAGGAGAATCGCTTGAACCCAGGAGGCAGAGGATGCAGTGAGCCAAGACCACACCACTGCACTCCAGCTTGGGTGACAGTGAGACTCTCTGAAAAAAAAAAAAAAAAAAAAAAAAAGGGCCTGGCGCGGTGGCTCACGCCTGTAATCCTAGCACTTTGGGACGCCGAGGAGGGTGGATCACGAGGTCAGGAGTTTGAGACCAGCCTGACCAACATGGTGAAACCCTGTCTCTACTAAAAAAAAAAAAAAAATACAAAAACTAGCGGGGCATGGTGGTGGGCATCCATAATCCCAGCTACTCTGGAGGCTGAGGCAGGATAATTGCTTGAATCCAGGAGGCAGAGGGTGCAGTGAGCCAAGATTGCACCACTGCACTACAGCCTGGGTGACATAGCGAGACTCTGTCTCAAAAAAACAACAACAAAAAAGCAGCTGCCACAAAACTCTGTAGCCCAACCAGGTTCCAAATGTCACTTATTTTAATGGTTTGGTACATATACTGTGTATATGTATACTATCTTTTGTTCTTGTTGTATCTCTTGAACTAAAATAGAAGTGGTAATAGAGTAGCTATTCCCCGGAACTCTAATCAGTGCACCTGTGGCTTCTCCTTCCTCAAACCCTACAATCACATAACATGCGAGATTGGTTCCATAGACAGCTGTCCTTCCCTCCTCCCGCCCATCAGGGTAGCTTGAGGTGTGCTACGGCCGGGCCCTGGGTGGGTTCGTGGGTGTTGCTTACTCTGTTGGAGGTTGGGTATTACTGGTCACCAGTTGATGTTTTGACCCTCTCTCTGATACTGTAAGTTGAAAGTTGATTCCGCCACCCACTGAGATCCTTTGTCACTTCCATGGTTACTTGTCCTGATCACTCAGCCTCACTCAGCTGTTCCCTCACTCAGCCAGGATGTCTTCTCCTGTGTGCAAGACACTGTCAGCTCTTCCTTTTAAAGATCTTGGTGAGGCCGGATGCAGCGGCTCACACCTATAATCCCAGCACTTTGGGCGGCTAATGCAGGAAGATCACTTGAACCCAGGAGTTCGAGACCAGCCTGGGCAATATAGCGAGACTCTGTCTCTACAAAAAATTTCAAAACTAGCCAGGTGCAAAGTAGTATGCACCTCTATCACCAGCTACTTGGGAAGCTGAGATGAGAAGATCACTTGAGCCTTAGTACTCAAGGCTGCGGTGAGTCATGACAGCGACACTGTACTCCAGCCTGGGTGCCAGGGCAAGACTCTGTCCCTAAGCATACACCGTCACATGTCAGTCTGCTGCCTGTGGGTGGTTAAGTCTCTCATTATACTGTGAAGACAGTTAGTTTTGCATCCACATATGACAGTATTACAGGACATATAATTCTCATGTCCTAAGAACTTAAGCAACAGTGGGATTTATTTATTTATTTGAGGCAGAGTCTTGCTCTGTGGCCCAGCCTGGAGTGCAGTGGTGCAGTCATAGCTCACGGCAGCCTCAAACTCCTGGACTCAAGTGATCCTCCCACCTTGGCCTCCCAGAGTGTTGGAATTACAGACATGAGCCACTGTGCCTGACCAGCATAGTTTTTGATGCGTTTAGTATCTTAATGTAGCTGCTGAAAACCTTAAGAGCTGACCCCGGTCTCCCAGAAAGACCATGGTGTGCTTAGAGACTCAGCACTTGCAGGGATAAACAGGTCCATCTTCTGGCGAACAGAGAGGGAACTGGGGGGGCTTGCAATTACTATGTGACTTTTTGAGTGAGAGACACAGTATGGCTCCTTGTTGTTCTTTTTTTTTTTTTCTTTTTTTGGAGACGGAGTCTCACTCTGTCACCCGGGCCGGAGTGCAGTGGCGTGATCTCGGCTCACTGCAACGCACTCTGCCTCTTGGGTTCAACCAATTCTGCCTCAGCCTCCCGAGTAGCTGGGACTACAGGTGCATGCCGCCCCTGGCTAATTTTTTGTATTTTAGTAGAGATGGGTTTCACCATGTTCGAGGCCGGTCTCGAACTCCTGAGCTCAGGCAATCCGCCTGCCTTGGCCTCCCAAAGTGCGGGGATTACAGGCGTGAGCCACTGTGCCCGGCCTTTTCTTTTTTGAGACTGGGTCTCACTCTGTTTTATGTAGCCTCCCTCACCCCTTCCCGGGGACCTGTGGCCCCAAACTTTGGACCTTTCACTAGCGAAGGCACCTTCTTACTTAGACTGAGGCCTTTACTCTTTTATGCACTGTGCGTGGCCTAGGTCTCTGAGCACATTAAAAATGAGCTCTACAATTAACATGCCAAGTTCAGGTCTATATTCTAACTCACAACAAAAGTGTGCACTCCTTGTCTAGTAGTTGGCAAATCTGTAACACGTTTGTGTGAGAAAGTACCTCTAGATGGTGTCAGCCTGGGCCCTAAAGAAATTGCAGCACAGCTTCCCTAGGTTGAGAGCATTTAGGTTAGGTGCCCCAAATGGGGACAACTTGCTCAGGGAGATAGACTGCTGATGTGAGGGATGAGATGGAGTGCCTGTGACAAAGGATTGTGCGTGGCCGTGACTCCCACATGGGCTGTTCTGCAGGGTCTTTGCGCACACAGCAGCATGGAATCTGGCCAGTTGGTCTAGAGTAGGGTTTTTCTTGGCAGTCATTATTTACCTTCTTATAGCCAACAGCATGGTGGTTGAGTCTCAGCTTTGGAGTCAGACTGCATGGGCTCGCACTCAGTCCTCCCTCCCGCTTGTTGGCTCTGTGGCCTTGGGTAAACCCTGTAACCTCTCTGTGCCTCCTTTTTTTGTTTTTTCATCTGTGAAATTTGCCTGTAAGGAAGTGTATGGCCTGGCCTGGGAGGTGCCTGGCACTTGACTGTGTTTTTGTCACTGTTGCTCAGATAGAGACAGCTGTCATAGTCCGTCTCTATTTCTTGTTTCCCTGCTGTGGGTCCTTGATTGAAAGAGCAGTTGGGAGACCCTCAGGCTCTGAGTGGCCTGTTCACCTCAGTCGTCTGCAAGGTGAGGCATCCTGTGCCATCTTAGGAGTGGCCCCCACTCTTCTTGAGGTGGCACTTGGCCGCTTCTTGAACGTGGGCCCCTGGGTGGCCAGGCGGGGGTAGGTGGGCCCTGGGATGTGACTGTGGAAGTGCAGGCCCATGACGCCAGTTCTTTCTGCTGTTTGTGCCCAGGTGGCAGCACCATGGATAGCTCCGCAGGAAGCAAGGCTAGGCGTGAGGCTGGGGAGGACGAGGAGGGATTCCTTTCCAAACTTAAGAAAATGTTTACCTCATGATATCCCAGCCGAGGTAGGAAAACCCTGGAGGTTTTTTTTCCCTTTGTTTTCCTCTGTGAACTAATCCTGGTTTTCTCCCACTTTAACCAATATTGTGCCCCCACCCCCAGGAGTTGGAACAGGTGCCAGTCCAAGGTGTGGTAAACCTAGCTCCACTAGGAGCTGGCCTCTCAGCCTAGGGAATAGATGACGTGGCAATCAGCCTGTAGTGCAGGACTGGCTGGGCTGCCGCGGCCAGCCTCTGGCTGTGTCTTCTTCCTGGGGAGGTGGCGATGCTGGGGCTGTTGTACAGCCCCCCTGCAGTGGTGGGTCCGGCTTGCCCATGGTCACAGAGGGCGAGTCAGGCAGAGCCAGGCCTAGAACTCAGATCTCCTCACGTCCTGCCTGCTTGGAAGCTGCCCTCCTGCGTGGACAGCGCAGGGCTGTGCAAGCCTGGGGGCTGCTCCAGGGGTAGCGCTTGCTCGCCGTGTCATCTTGGGACCCACTTTGGTTTATTATGCTCATCTCAGCAAGTGGGGTTCTCGCCCCTCTCTTGGCACAGCTGCTTTCCAGGGATTAACAGACGCTCCCCACAGGGGTGTGTTCCCTTGAAATGTTGAGTATAAGGTAACAGCCTATCTCTTTGGCTCAGGAAAAAGATCCACTGGAAACTAGGCCGGGAAGCAGCAGCCCCTCCAAGGGCCAGGGCACCTGGGAGACGGGAGGATTCCAGAACAGCAGCACTGAGCTCCCACCCGCAGAGCCTCTGGACGGCCTTGGCAACAGCAAAATCATGGGACAACACCTCTCTCCACGGAAAGGTCACAGTGGACAGCCCGGGCAGTAGGATGCAGCCCCAGAGGCTGGTGGCAGTTTCCTGTCCATTGGTAGGTGACGGCCCCTGGCTCAGGCAGAGGGAGATGGTTAGACTCTTGCAGGGCTAAAACTCTAATTTGGAATTGAATATTGTGGATATCTTAGTTAAAGGCCATGCTTACAGCTTAGAAATGAAGCCTTAAGCTGCATCAAGTTACGAAGTGATTAATTTCCTTCTCAGCAAACCTCCGGGAGGTTCCAGAATGAGTTCTTCCTGACAGGTTGTCTTCACTGGGAGCGTGGGGCCCCCAGGCCCCACCAGCACCGTCCTCCCCTAATGAGGGGCCCTGCCGAGGCATCAGCTGCTCTGCTCAGTTAGTTTTTATTCCCGGGGTACCAAGCAGCTGCACAGTCGGTGCCTGGGAGGCACGTAGAGGCCCAGAGAGTCCCTGGGGGTTCTGCTCTGACCGTGTGGGTGGTGATCCTTGTCAGGATGTACAGTCCTTGCTCCCACCCCATCCGGGATGGCCGCCTGTCCCTGACTATTGAGTCCTGTTGTTGTAAGCCAGGCATGGAGGGCTCCTGCCCTTCTGCTGAGCCACAGCCCATTGCAGCACTGTGCTGGCCAGACTTCAGCTGCCTTGGGAACTGAAGCCCTGCCACTGTTGCTAGTCAGGGGCTTGGTTCTCCCACTTACACTGTTGACATCTATTTTCTGAAGTGTGTTTAAATTATTCAGTGCTAATCATTGTTTTTTCCTTTGTAAATGTTGATTCAGAAAAGGAAAGCACAGGCTAAGCAGTTGAAGGTTCCCCACCATTCAGTGAGAGCAGAACCCCCATTCCCCAGCCTCTGCTGGTAGCATGTCGCAGTTTCCATGTGTTTCAGGATCTTCGGGCTGTCGTTAGACAGGTTAATGAAGAACACTTCTCAACAGTTTCCTTTTTGTTTTCCTTTATAATTCACTAAAATAAAGCATCTATTAGTGTCTGATTTAGGAATGTAAAATGATTCTGTATTAATGTAAATAAGATTATCTATTGCAAAAAGATATTTCAAACCTAAATTGTGGTCATTTCTTCTTTGAAAGAATTCAGACAGCCTCTGCAGGTGGCTTATGGGGGTTACAGGAGACTTGGCTGGCCTCATCCTGTGCTCACAGCCACCCAGAGCACATAGAGGCAGATGGGTCTGGGGTGCCGACAGTGCTGACCCTCACTTGGATTCCAGAGCAGGGTGCTTGCCATGACACAACAGTCCCCTGTGAGTGAATGTTCTAGAATCTGGATGTGACTTTTTTCTTGGGAGCCCATGCTGTGAGAGCTGGCCAATGTCCCTGGGTCCCTGCATTTCAGTCTCCCTCACTGGATTGTTTCCCTTCATTCTTTCCAGTCTTTGCATCTTTTACATTCAATTTTATTTTATTTTTTTTTTAAATGGAGTCTCGCTGTGTCGCCCATACTGGAGTGAAGTGATACCATCTCTGCTCACTGCAACCTCTGCCTCCTGGGTTCAAGCGATTCTCCTGTCTCAGGCTTCTGAGTAGCTGGGACTACAGGTGCATGCCACCACGCTTGGCTAATTTTTGTATTTTTAGTAGAGATGGGGGGTTTCACCATGTTGGCCAGGCTGGTCTTGAACTTCTGACCTCAGGTGATCCGCCCACCTCGGCCTCCCAAAGTGCTGGGATTACAGGTGTGAGCCACCATGCCTGACCAAAATTTTTATGTATTATAGTTTGGCTACTCTGGGTTCCCAGCCACGCTCTATGCCTGGCGTGGCTAGAGGGGCCCTGATACACAGCTCAGTCCACTCTGGCACTCTGGGCTGAGCAGGGTGAGATGAGAGTCTGTTTGCTGGGTCAGGTGGAGAAGAGACTCGGGAAAGAGCTGACGGACAGGAGAGGCTCAGCAGTGACATTCTGCTCATCTCAGATACTTCCCAGTATTTTCATCAATGAAATACTGATTGCCTGCCTACTGTGGACACTCAGTATGGACCAGGCCCTATTCTAGTTCCTGGGGATACAGCAGTGGGGAGCTAGACCGTGTCTCTTGTGAAAGCTTGGGCTTATTCCTGGAACAGTCACCCTGAGTCTCATTCATGTCCTATTGCTTCAAAGCAGAAGTCTAGAGAAAGACTTTGGAAGAGAAAGGTGGATTTTCTTGCTAAACAGAAACCATTGTTGTGTTGAAGCATCCTTCCCTCAAGGGATTAGAGGTGGCTGTGCATGACCAGGCGAGGTGGCTCACACCTATAATCCCAGCACTTTGGGAGGCTGAGGCGGGTGGATCACCTGAGGTTAGGAGTTCAAGACCAGCCTGGCCAACATGGTGAAACCCCGTCTCTATAAAAATACAAAAAAATTAGCCAGGCGTGGTGGCACATGCATGTTATCCAAGCTTCTCAGGAGGCTGAGACAGGAGAATCACTTGAACTCAGGAGGTGGAGGTTGCAGTGATTGGAGATCATGCCATTGCACTCCGGCCTGGGCGACAGTGCGAGACTTCATCTCAAAAAAAAAAAGGTGGCCGTGCAACAGCTGTAGAATTCAGTGCTCTTTCTGGGCCTGGGTTTGGTTTATTTCCACTTGTGCTCCTGATGTATTTGTTACCAGACTTCTTTATAGCTTCTGAGTAGTAGTATGTATTTAAAAATATAAGAAAAGGGCCAGGCATGGTGGCTCACGCCTGTAATCTGAACACTTTAGGAGGCCAAGGAGGGAGGAATGTGTGAGCCCAGGAGCGAGAGAGTGAGACCCCCATCTCTACAAAAAAATTCTAAAAAATTAGCTGGGAGTGGTGGCTTGGCACCTGTAGTCCCAGCTACTTAGAAATCTTGAGGTGGCAGGATTGCTTGAGCTGAGGAGTTCAAGGCTCCAGTGAGCTGTGATCATGCAACTCCACTCCAGTCTAGGTGACAGAGCCAGACCATGTCTCAAGAAAATAAAGTATTTCTAGGCCTGTGAGCCTGTGGGAGGTACATGTTTGGCACTTGCTTAAACATTAGGAGGGTGGGCCGGGCGTGGTGGCTCACACCTGTAATCCCAGCACTTTGGGAGGCCAAGGTGGGCGGATCATGAGGTCACGAGTTCAAGACCAGCCTAGCCAACATGGTGAAACCCTGTCTCTACTAAAAATACAAAAATTAGCCAGACTTGGTGGTGGGCGCCTGTAATCCGAGCTACTCGGCAGGCTGAGGCAGGAGATCCGCTTGAACCCTGGAGGTGGAGGTTGCAGTGAGCCAGGATTGCGCCACTGGATTCCAGCCTGGGTGACAGGGTGAGACTCCATCTCAAAAAAAACATTAGGAGGGTGGACAAGGCCAGCTCTCAGGCATTGGTCCTCAGCCCCATTCCCACCTCAGGCCTGGGACTGGGTTGTTTCCAACCTGAGCCCCCTCCTCACTCATAGTCCTTTGGGTTCTGGTGGCCTGGCCTTTGTTTCCTTCCCTGTCAACCAAACAGTGTGCAAGAATTCTCTCCAGGCCCACAGGCCTCCAGCTGCCCCTGCCCCTCTGTGTTTGTAGCACTGCAGAGCCGGCTCTGATGTGGAGGACGGCAGCTGCACGGCTCCTGGAAGAGGCTTGTTTCACACTCTTGCTTGTTAATAAATACTGTGCAGGTCTTATCTTTTAACTAGAAGTTCTGCTTATTTCTCATGACTCTTCAAGGGTCACAAATGGGCCAGGGGGGAACATAAAAGGCGAAGTGGGTCCATAGTTATATGGCCAAGGGCATGATCCACAGACCTTAGCTTACTGGTCACCTCCCCCGATGCTGCTCCTGTCCCCATTTATTTATCCTTCCTGTTTTGTTTTTTGCAGCCCTTATGTCAATTTGTTTTTTGGGTTTTGTTTTGTTTTTGAGACAGGCTTTCACTCTGTTGCCCTGGCTGGCTTGTGGTGGTGCAATCACAGCTCACCACAGCCTTGACCTCCTGGGCTCAAGTGATCCTCCTACCACAGCTTCCTGAGTAGCTGGGAGTACAGGCACATGCCACCACGCCTGCCACCATTTCTTCTGTTTTTTTGTTTTTGAGGCAGAGTCTCCCTCTGTCGCCCAGGCTGGAGTGCAGTGGTACAATCTCGGCTCACCACAACCTCCACCTCCTGGGTTCAGCTGATTCTCCTGCCTCAGCCTCCTGAGTAGCTGCCGGCACACGCCACCACGCCCAGCTAATTTTTGTATTTTTTGGTAGAGACAGGGTTTTGCCATGTTGACCAAGTTGGTTTCGAACTCCCAACCTCAACTGATCCACCTGCCTTGGCCTCCCAAAGTGCTGGGATTACAGGCATGAGCCACCACGCCTGGCCCTAGTTTCTTTTGTATTTCTTTTTTTTAGGTAGAGATGGGGTCTTGCTATGTTGCCCAGGCTGGTCTCGAACTCCTGAACTCAAGCCATCCTCCACCTCAGCGTCCCAAAGTGCCGGAATTACAGGCGTAGATACATAACTATTTATTGTGTGTTTCTATCAGGCTCTCCCACTAAATATAAGCTCCTCAAGGCAGGCAGCATAACTTTTTTTGCTACATTGTATTTAGGGCCCAGCATACTGGTAAATTGTCAAAGAAATGCTTCAGTCAATGGATAGAATGAATTTTTGTGCCTGGGGGTGCCAGAGCCAGGGTGGGGAAGTAAAAAAATAAAAACTGTGATGGTAGTCACACAAACCTAAATGTGTTGAATTGAAATTCACAGAACTGCTGGGCTCAGTGGCTCATACCTGTACGATAATCCCAGCTACTCAGGAGGTTGAGGTGGAAGGATCACTTAAGCCTGGGAGGTGAAGGCTGCAGTGAGCTATGACTGTGCCACTGCACTCCAGCCTGGGCAACAGAGCGAGACCTTGACTCTTTAAAAAAAAAAAAAAAAAAAAAAAAAATTGGCCAGGCGCGGTGGCTTATGCCTGTAATCCCAACACTTTGGAAGGCCGAGGCGGGCGGATCACGAGGTCAAGAGATCGAGACCATCCTGGACAATATGGTGAAACCCCGTCTCTACTAAAAATACAAAAATTAGCTGGACGTGATGGTGCATGCTTGTAATCCCAGCTACTCGGGAGGCTGAGGCAGGAGAATCACTTGAACCCAGGAGGTGGAGGCTGCAGTGAGCTGGGATCGTGCCACTGCACCCCAGCCTGGGTGACAGAGGGAGACTCCGTCTCAAAAAAAAAAAAAAAAAAAAAAATCGGAGCTGCCATGGACCACAAACTCTCAGGCAAATAACTGGTCTCTCGGCCTCTGACCCTCTTCTCTGTGACCCACCCCAGCAAGCAAGGTGGGTTGTTTCTCCTTCAGTTTTGCTTCCCAGCAGTGTCCAATTACTGTGCGTTGTGGACCACAGCTCTGCCACATCCGATTTTCCTTTTTCCAACCTGTTTGAAGTTCACCTGTGTCCAGGATGGTACCCCAAGGCCGGCTCCTTCCAGGACAAGGATGAGGAGAGAAAGGGAGAAGCCCATATCTCCCCCGCCTCCCTGCAGAGCCTGTCTCCAGTTCACATGTGCAGATGGCCTCACTAGCTCTGGAGATGAAAGGGGTGTGTCAGAAGCTCGGCTCCTGGGGCTCCTCTGTGTCCTGTGCTATGTCCCCGTCTGTGAATGAATTTCAAATGTGGGAACAGAGGCTGCTGGTCAGAGCTGTTCTGCTAGCTGAGGTCAGAACAGGCCACTTCACACCTGTCTGACTAAACACGTTTAGGTCACTCGTCCCAGTCACCAAGTGATCCCTTCAGCCTTGGACCCTCCCTTACTGCTGTGTTGGTACAGCCCTGGAGCCACCCCTTACTGCTGTGTTGGTACAACCCCGGGTCCCCTCACTTACTGCTGTGTTGGTACAGCCCTGGACCCCCCCCCCCCGCTCCAACTTACTGCTGTGTTGGTACAGCCCCGGACCCTCCCCAACCACTTACTGTTGTGTTGGTACACAACTACCACCCCAACCCAAGTCCTGGAAGCAGAGTCCTCTTCTCCTGGAAGCCATCTGGGAGAACAATGGCTTTATTCAGATGTTGGTGCCTCTGCCCCTCTGGTGCCCCCGATCCCCACAAGGGGCCGCGAGGCGGGCAGGTCACAGCAGGTTGAAGTCCCCTTTGTGCTGTTCCAGCCACTGGTCCAGCGTCAGGGCCTTGGGGTTGAGTCTCAGGGTCAGCTCGATGTCACGGTCGGGTCTCAGGGCATAGAAACGGAACATGTTGGCCAGGTCCCGGGCACCGGGAAAGCCAAGCTTTTCGTAGTCCTCAGGAGTCATCTGGAAGCAGAGGAGCCTGTCGTGGCCGGCGTCCTCCAGTGCCCCGGGAGGTGGCGGGGCAGGGAGGCCGGATGGGCTGGGGTCTCCCGACCTGCTACACCCAGAGCCACTATTGTCTCGGTCCCTGACCCAGGTCCTCCGTACAAGGTCATTTGAAAACTTCTAAGAGCCGAAAGTTCAGAAACTGCTGCTCTCCTGAGCTGCCTGACATTGTAGATCAGTTTAAAGATTGTTCTTGGCCAGATGCTGTGGCTCATGCCCGTAATCCCTGCACTTTGGGAGGCTGAGGCAGGCAAATCTCTTGAGGCCAGGAGTTCGAGACCAGCGTGGCCAACACGATAAAACCCCGTCTCTTTCAAAAATACAAAAATTAGCCAGCCTGGTGGTAGGTGCGTGTAATCCCAGCTACTTAGGAGGCTGAGACAGGAGAATCGCTTGAAACCAGGAGGTGGAGGTTGCAGTGAGCTGAGATCACCCCACTGTACTCCAGCCTGGGCAACAAGAGTGAGACCCTGTCTCAAAAATGAATAAATAAAAAGACTATTATTTTCAGATCATGAGACGAAAATATCTCAGTCCCTTCCAAATCAGAGACCTGCCTGCATCACTTTCTTTCTCAAAAACCAAAGCTTGACCAGACACAGTGGCTCACACCTGTCATCCCAGCACTTTGGGAGGTGGAGGTGGGAGGATCGCTTGAGCCCAGGAGTTAGGCCCACCACGCCGGGCTAATTTTTTGTATTTTTAGTAGAGACGGGGTTTCACCGTGTTAGTCAGGATGGTCTCGATTTCCTGACCTTGTAATTGCCCGCCTCAGCCTCCCAAAGTGCTAGGATTACAGGTGTGAGCTACCGCGCCTGACCCAACTTTCGTCTTTTAAGGACTCCAGTGTTTCCCAGATTCTTTTTTTTTTTTGGAGTTGGAGTCTCGCTCTGTCGCCCAGTCTGGAGTGCAGTGGCATCTCGGCTCGCTGCAAACTCTGCCTCCTGAGTTCAAGCGATTCTCTTGCCTCAGCCTCCCAAGTAGCTGGGATTACAGGCGCCTGCCACCACACCCGGCTAATTTGTTTATTTTTAGTAGAGATGGGGTTTCACCCTGTTGGCCAGGCTGGTCTCAAACTCCTGACCTCAGGTGATCCACCTGCCTCGGCCTCCCAAAGTGCTGGGATTACAGGCGTGAGCTACTGCACCCAGCCTCCCAGATTCTTTAATGAGTATGTCTTACTTTCCTAATGGTAATGACAAACATTAGAAACCAGGTACCCAAGAGTCTGTCCAGTAGGCCTCCTGCCCACCCAGCCAGGCCAATGGGGGCAGGGGTCGGCCCTATCTTTCTAGCCTCTTTCCCTTTAAATCCCCTCCCACAGGGGAGGGGTCGGGTCTATCTTTCCAGACTCTTTTCTCTTCAAATTCCCTCCCACAGAGGAGCCCGGCAGGGCCTGCATTTTCACCCCTCCTTGCCTTGGCTCCTATGGCCCTCTCCTCCTGGAAGCTTTTCTCTCTATTTGGTCAAAACATCTAAGCCAGAAATTTCACTCTGTGGCCAGTTAGCTCCTGGAACAGCAGAAAATAAACGTTGACGATGAACGAATGAATTTAGATGTACTGCCCAGAGGTGTGGGCAGCCCTGGACACACCCTCCCTACGGGAGCTAGAAAGCCCTGACAAGGATGCCTGAGTCACCTGGGGCGGGAGGCCCACCTTGGCATCGTGCACGACCTTGCGGGTGTGCTTGGTGAGCAGGGCAGCGTACTCCTCGGCCGTGTGCCTGCAAGTGCTCAGCCCGATGTTCTGGCCGACGTATTTTTCTGGCATCTTCAAAAGGCTGAGCACCACAGGACCCAGGTCAGACACGGACATGCCATCCATGGGAACGTCACCTGTGGGCAAGCCTGTGGGGCAGAGACGTGAGCTGGTATATGTCCCGAGGGCAGACAGGGGCAGGGACAGAGCCCCTCTCCAAAGGGTCCAAGCTGGTTCTTCCCAGCAGTCAGCTGCACACTCCAGCACTCGGGCATAGCTAAGACAAGTCTTGCTATTTGTGGTAGCACAGAGGCAGCAGTGGAATTGAGTCAGGAAACGGGATGGAATCCGGGTACTGCCACCTAGGGCAGGCTGTTGAGGCTCTCTGAGCCTGGGTTGCTGCATTCCTAGAATGGGGCTAAGAACCTGGGCCTGCCCAGCTCTCTCAGCGCTAGGATGACAGAGAAGGGACAAAGGAAAAGGACTCTGAAAGCTGCTACAGAGAGTGTGGCTGGAGCCCAGGGTCTCCGCTAATCTGGAGGCACCAGCCTGAAGTACTCTGTCATATCCTAGATTCCTGGAAGCTGGAACGTCCACCTCTGAGTAGATACTCCAAATACCAACTCACTTACCAGGAATCCTGATTAACCAGACACCAACGGCTGGCCTAGAGCAGCACGTCCATGATAAATGCTTCATAAATCCTGAATGAATGAATGACTCGCAAACTTCCAGGCTGAGGTTTTGTAGATGGGGAGGCTGGCAACTGTCTGGGTGTGGCCTGTGGAATGCTTGGGTCCTATCCTCCTTACCTAGAGACAGGGGCCAGTGCAGCTTCCTGTTCAGATCACCTGGGAGCTCGAGGGCACAGAGCGCACAGACCGGAGCAGGAGATATCCCTGACTGCAGGTTTTTTTTTTTTTTTTTTTTTGAGATGGAGTCTCGCTCTGTCGCCCAGGCTGGAGTGCAGTGGCGCAATCTTGGCTCACCACAAGCTCCACCTCCCGGGTTCACACCATTCTCCTGCCTCAGCCTCCCGAGTAGCTGGGACTACAGGCGCCTGCCGCCACACCCGGCTAAGTTTTTGTATTTTTAGTAGAGACAGGGGTTTCACCAAGTTAGCCATGATGGTCTCGATCTCCTGAACCTCGTGATCCGCCCTCCTCGGCCTCCCAAAGTGCTGGGATTACAGGCGTAAGCCACCGTGCCCGGCCTTTTTTTTTTGAGACGGGGTCTTGCTCTGTCACCCAGGCTGGAGTGCAGTGCCACGATCTCGGCTCACTGCAACCTCTGCCTCCTGGGTTCAAGCGATTCTTCTGCCTCAGCCTCCCGAGTAGCTGGGATTACAGGCGTGCACCACCACGCCAGGCTGGCTAATTTTTGTATTTTTAGTAGAGATGGGGTTTCACACCATGCTGGCCAGGCTGGTCTCAAACTCCTGAACTGGTGGTCTGCCCACCTCGGCTTCCCAAAGTGCTGGGATTACAGGCGTAAGCCACTGCGCCTGGCCAGCTTTGCAAACTATAATAAATGGTGGTACCAAAGGGCTACTGTTACCACCAGACTTGGCCCGCCAGGTGAGCAGGACTCCCATGGGCTGGGCCCTTATGCGAGGGTGACCTGGCATTCAACCAGAGGGTAAGGAGTGGCCAGCCAGAGGCACCAACCCCTCCTGCCCTGATCACTGAGTGACCAGCAGGACACAGGTTGGGTGAGCCTTGTTCCCAGCCAGGGCCAGTGCACCTAACCTGTTTATAGCCCCAATGGGCACTGAGAAGAAAGAGCTTTCCTAGTTTGTGAAATCTGCAACTGAACTTCATTTTCCAAATCCTCTCCTCGTCTTTGGTTTTTTTGTTTTGTTTTGTTTTGTTTTGTTTGTTTTGAGACGGAGTGTTGCTCTTGTCGCCTAGGCTAGAGTGCAGTGGCACAATCTCAGCTCACTGCAACCTCCACCTCCTGGGTTCAAGCGATTCCCCTGCCTCAGCCTCCCTAGTAGCTGCCAGTACAGGTGGGTGGCACCACGCCCAGCTAATTTTTGTATTTTTAGTAGAGATGGGGTTTCACCATGTTGGCCAGGCTGGTCTCCCCGCCTCAGCCTCCCAAAGTGCTGGGACTACAGGCATAAGCCACAGCGCCCGGCCCTCCTCATCTTTGAAGGAGAACTGACAATCACTAGGTCCTCTCTGTAAAGCCTTCCAATGGACCAAGCGAATATCGTGTCACCACCATCTCAGCAGATCTTGCCACCCCTGCAAACATTGGTATAGAGCCCATCTCACAGAACAGGAAGCTGAGGCCCCGCAAGCTGACAGGATGTGCTCAGTCCTGGGCCTAACGTGAGGGAGCCACGGCTTGAACCTGGCACCACGTGACAGCGGCCCGCGGTCTGTTACACCAACGGCTTTACAGGGTGAGAGCTCTGCCTCACCGTGTGCGAGAAAGGGCACTTACTCAGCAAGTAGCTCTTTCCGTCTGGGGCTTTCTGGGGCAAGAAGTGGGAGAGGAGGTTCTCAAAATAGCAGGGCAGCCGCACACTGGTCATGGGAACGCCAATGTCCCGGAAATATTCCTCCACCTCCCCTTTGCCGTCAAAGTGCGCGGCGGCCAATCTCCCTGCCGTCAGCTTCTTGATGTTCTCCAGGCCGCTGTAGACCACATAGTGGAGGCCCAGGCGCCTGGCCAGATCAGCGAGCAGCTTCCCCTGGAGGGCAGGGAAGGAGAGATCACAAGGCTCAGAAGAAGGATGTCTGTCCCTGGTCACAGCCCCAGCATTCTAATCCCGGAGCGGCCACCATCTGCGAGGTTAACATCTAGACCCCACTTACCCTTGAGGAGGCCCCCTCTCCTGGAATGATGTTCACACATGACACCACGCCCGTAAACACAGCCCCGGAAGCCTTCTACCAGCCACTGACTCTGGCCCACCATGTGCAACATAGGACGGGGGGGCAGGTCGGCTGCAGGGGGACGGCCTGCATGGAGGTCTAAAGGAGAATGCACACGTCCCATCTCTGCTGGTGTGAGAACACCCTGCCCATGGAGCTCAGCCATCTTCCTTGGAGAGCCCTGGGAGGCTATACAGAGGCACCACAGCTGCCTAGGTTCAAATCAGGCTCTGCCATGTACGAGCAGTGTGACCCCAGAGAAGTGATGGCACCATCCTGACCTCGCTGGTAAAATGCAGATGACAACACTACCTACTGCATGAGGTGACGCAGAGATTCGGACGGTGGCCTCCAAAAAGATATGCCGCATCCTCATTCCTGAAAACTGTGAATGTGACCTTATTCGGAAAAAGGGTCTTGGCAGATGTAATTACGTGAAGGATCTTGAGATGGGAACATCCTGCACTAACTAGATAGGCGCTAAATCCAGTAACCAGGGTACTTATAAGAGACGGGAGAAGAGACAACACCTGGAGAAGGCCATGCGAAGAGGGAAGCGGAGATTGGAGCTTTGTGGCCACAAGCCCAGGAACACCTGGAGCCATGAGAAGCCAGAAACAGTGAAGAAGGATTTCCCTCAAACCCCTTGTTTTGTTTTGTTTTTTAAGATGGACTCTCACTCTGTCACCCAGGCAGGAGTGCAGTGGCGTGATCTCTGCTCACTGCAGCCTCCGCTTCCTGGATTCAAGCAATTCTCCTGCCTCACCCTCCTGAGTCGCTGGGACTACAGGTGCCCGCCACCATGCCTGGCTAATTTTTGTATTTTTTGTAGAGACAGGGTTTTGCTGTGTTGGCCAGGCTGGTCTTGAACTCCTGACCTTAAGTGATCTGCCCACCTCAGCCTCCCAAAGTGCTGGGATTACAAGCATAAACTACCACGCCTGGCCTCCAAGACTCTGGAGAGAGGGTGACATTGCTGACACCTTGATTTTGAACTTCTAGCTTCTAGAATATCAGAGAATCGATTTCTGTGGTTTTTGTTTTTGTTTTTGAGACAGAGTCTAGCTCTGTCGCTCAGGCCGGAGTGCAGTGGCACAATCTTGGCTCACTGCAACCTCCGCCTCTTGGGTTCAAGCAATTCTCCTGCCTCAGCCTCCTGAGTAGCTGGGATTACAGGCGCCCACCACCATGCCCAGCTAATTTTTGTATTTTTAGTAGAGACAGGGTTTCACTGTGTTGGCCAGGATGGTCTCAAACTCCTGACTTCAAGTGATCTGCCCGCCTCGGCCTCCCAAAGTGTGGGGATTACAAGCATGAGCCACTGTGCCCAGCTGATTTCTATGGTTTTAAGCCACGTGGATTGTGGTCCTTTTTCGTGACAGTACCAGGAAGCCCACAGGGAATCATCAGGATTAGAAATAAGATCTGCTGGGCTGGGCGCAGTGGCTCATGCCCGCAGTCCCAGCACTTTGGGAGGCCGAGGCAGGCGGATCGCCTGAGGCCGGGAGTTAGAGACCAGCTTGACCAACATGGAGAAACCCCGTCTGTACTAAAAATACAAAAAAATTACCAGGGCATGGTGACGCATGCATGTAATCTCAGCTATTCGGGAGGCTGGGGCAGGAGAATAACTTGAACCCAGGAGGCGGAGGTTGCGGTGAGCCAAGATTGCGCCATTGCATGCCAGCCTGGGCAACAAAAGCGAAACTCGGCCTCAAAAAATAAAGAAAGAAATAAGATCAGCTCAGGGCCGGGCATGTGGCTTACGCCTGTAATCCCAGCACTTTGGGAGGCCGAGGTGGGCGGATCACCTGAGGTCAGGAGTTCAAGACCAGCCTGGCCAACATGGTGAAACCCCGCCTCTACTAAAAATACAAAAATTAGTTGGGTGTGCTGGTACACACCTATAATCCCAGCTACTCGGGAGGCTGAGGCAGAAGAATTGCTTGAATCTGGGAGGCAGAGGTTGCAGTGAGCCGAGATCACCCCACTGCACTCCGGCCTGGGCGACAGAGCAAGACTCAGTCTCAAAAAAAAAAAAAAAAAAAAGATCTGCGTTAATCAGAGAAGTTGTCTTTGTCTGCTCTATATAATGGGCTTCTAGGTAAGACCATAATTGAAGAAAGGGTCAAGGCTAATAACAAGTTTGGATGGGTACACGTGGACATGAAGGCAACAACAGACACTGGGAACCACGGGAGGGAGGGAGGCAAGGGTTGAAAACCTACCTACTGGGTACTGTGCCCACTACCTGGGTGACAGGTCCAGTCACACCCCAGACCTCAGCATCACTCAATATACCAATGTAACAAACCTGTGCATGTACCCCTGAATCTAAAATAAAAGTGGAAATTACTTTTTAAAAAAAACTTCTAACATTTTTGATTAAAAAAAAAAAAAACAAACGAACAGGCCAGGCGTGGTTGCTCACGGAGACTGAGACGGCCTCAAACAAACAAAAAAAAAGTAATTGGATGAGAAAGCAACAGCGTCCACCTGCTTCACAGCCTAGAGCAGGCAGAGGCATGAAGAAGAGGGAAAGGCCTGCAGTGCTCCAACCTCCCTGCAGAGTCGGAGCTCCTCCCAGGCGCTCTGCTCCTAGCCTGGCCGGGCCTCCCTGCAGCTCCTGCCTGCCCTCACCTGCTTGACCTCCTGCTCCTGGCTGCAGCTCTCCCAGTAATTGGTCACGATGAAGGTGGCGTAAGCCCCATTCAGGGCCAGCTCCATGATGACCTGGTCATCTTGGTCTCCCTGCACTACTTCTGCACCTTGCAGCCTCAGCTCCTTTGCTGCCTTCTTCCTAGGGTTTCGGGTCACCACTCGAACCTTGAATGTCCCATCTTCCAGGAGTGTGCGGGCCACGGAGCCACCCTGGGCACCTACAAAGAATCAAAAAGACCTCTCAGGTCAGACCTACCTGAAAGTCCCACTGAAGGGCGAAACCCCGAAGGGAGTGCTCCACCACAGCAAGGAGCATCCAGGAAACCTTCTCAACGACGATTCTCATTCAGGTATTTTTATTTTCTTTATTTTATTTTTTTGAGATGGAGTCTCACTCTATCACCCAGGCTGAAGTGCAGTGGCACGATCTTGGCTTGGTGAAACCCCGCCTCTATCAAAAAATACAAAAATTAGCTGGGTGTGAAGGCACATGCCTGTACTCCCAGCTACTCAGGAGGCTGAGGCACGAGAATTGCTGGAACCCAGGAGGCGGAGGTTGCAGTGAGCTGAGATTGCGCCACTGCACCACAGCCTGGGTGACACAGCGAGAATCTGTATTAAAAAAAAAAAAAAAAGGCCAGGCATGGTGGCTCACGCCTGTAATCACAGCACTTTGGGAGGCCAGGCCGAGTGGATCACCAGGTAAGGAGACCGAGACCATCCTGGCTAACACAGTGAAACCCTGTCTCTGCTAAAAATACAAACTTAGCCGGGCGTGGTGGCACCCGCCTGTAGTCACAGCTACTCAGGAGGCTAAGGCAGGAGAATCGCTTGAACACAGGAGGCGGAGGTTGCAGTGAGCCCAGATCACGCCACTGCACTCCAGCCTGGGTGACAAAGTGAGATTCCCTCTCAAAAAAAAAAAAAAAAAAAAAAAAAGGGCCTGGTGCAGTGGCTCACACCTGTAATCCTAGCACTTTGAGAGGCCGAGGGGGGTAGATCACCTGAAGTTGGGAGTTTGAGAACAGCCCGACCAACATGGAGAAACCACTGTCTCTACTAAAAATACAAAATTAGCTAGGCGTGGTGGCACATGCCTGTAATCCCAGCTACTCGAGAGGCTGAGGCAGGAGAATCGCTTGAACCCAGGAGGCAGAGGTTGCGGTGAGCCGAGATCGCGCCATTGCACTCCAGCCTGGGCAACAAGAGCGAAACTTGGTCTCAAAAAAATAAAGGTAAAAATATTTGTGATGTAATAAAGTAAAAAAAGTAGAATACAAAACCATATTCAGGCTGGGTGCAGTGGCTGTAATCCTAGCACTTTGGGAGGCTGAGACAGGTGGATCACGAGGTCAGGAGCTCAAGACCAGCCTAGCCAAGATGGTGAAACCCCGTCTCTACTAAAAATAAAAAAATGAGGCCGGGTGCAGTAGCTCACAACTGTAATCCCAGCACTTTGGGAGGCCGAGGCGGGCGGATCATGAGGTCAGGAGATCGAGACCATCCTGGCTAACACGGTGAAACCCTGTCTCTACTAAAAATACAAAAACTTAGCCGGGCGTGGTGGCGGGCGCCTGTAGTCCCAGCTACTCGGGAGACTGAGGCAGGAGAATGGCATGAACCCAGGAGGTGGAGCTTGCAGTGAGCCGAGATCGCGCCACTGCACTCCAGCCTGGACGACAGAGCAAGACTCCGTCTCAAAAAAAAAAAAAAATTAGCTGGGCATGGTGGAGCCTGTAATCCCAGCTACTTGGGAGGCTGAGGCAGGAGAATCGCTTGAACCAGGGTGGCAGAGGTTGCAGTGAGCCGAGATTGGGCCACTGCACTCCAGCCTGGGTGACACAGTGAGACTCTGTCTCAAAACAAAAGAAAAAACCATATTCAGATCTTGATGGGATTTGAATTCTTCCTGAAGTAGAATATAAAGCCATATTCAGATACACAACCATATTCAGATCTGCTCAAAAACGAGACAAAGAAAAATAGTTAACAGAAAGGAATACAAAAACTTATTCAGATCTCGATGGAGCTTGAGTCACACAGGCATGCGCATCGGTCAGATGTACCCTTAAGATTTTGCGCGTTGCAGCTGGGCCCAGGGGCTCATGCCTGTAATCCAGACACTTTGGGAGGCTGAGGCACGCAGATCTCTTGAGCTCAGGAGTTTGAGACCAGCCTGGGCAACATGGTGAAACCATATCTCTACAAAAAAAAACCAAAAATTAGCTGGGCGTGGTGGCATGTGCCTGTAGTCCCAGCTACCAGGGAGGCTGAGGCTGGAGGAAAGCCTGAACCCAGGAGGTTGAGGCTGCAGTGAGCCGTGATCACACCACTGCACGCCAGCCTGGGTAACAGAGTAAGGCCCTGTCTCCAAAAAAAAAAAAAAAAAAAAATTCTTTATTATATGTATATTTTACCTCATAATTAAAAATAATCTATAAACAAATACTGAATTCTAGCTAATGTTATGCATGCTTTAGTATGGAAGGGCGGTGTACACATATCTGCAATTTACACAGAAATGCATCAAAAATAAGGACTGAGGCCGGGCACAGTAGCTCATAGCTGTAATCTAAGCACTTTGGGAGGGTAAGGGGGATGGGTTTTGCTTGAGGCCAGGAGTTTGAGACCAGCCTAGGCAGCAGGGTGAGACCCAGTCTCTACAAAAAATTAAAAAATCAGCTGGGCCTGTTAGCGCTCATCTGAAGTCCCAGCTACTCAGGCGAATGAGTCAGGAGGATTGCTTGAGGCTTGGAAGTCAAAGCTGTAGTGAGTGATGATTGAGCCACTGCACTCCAGCCTGGGCAACAGAGCAAGACCCTGACTCAGAAAAAAGTGTACACCAATGTTCCATGGCAGCATTATTCATAATAGCCAAAAAGTGGAAATAAATCAAGTATCCATCCACTGACGAATGGACAAACAGAATATAGTCTATCCATACGGTGGAATATTACTCAGCCATAAAAATAAGTAAAGCTGTCAGGAGTTCGAGACCAGCCTGACCAACATGGTGAAACCCCGTCTCTACTAAAAAATACAAAATTAGCTGGGTGTGGTGGTGCACACCTGTAATCCCAGCTACTTGGGAGGCTGAGGCAGGAGAATTGCTTGAACCCGGGAGGCAGAGGTTGCAGCGAGCAGAGATCACACCATTGCACTCCAGCCTGGGCAACAAGAGAGAAACTCTGTCTTAAAAATAAAAAAGTAAAGTTGGCCGGGCGCGGTGGCTCAAGCCTCTAATCCCAGCACTTTAGGAAGCTGAAGTGGGCAGATCACCTGAGGTCAGGAGTTTGAGACCAGCCTGGCCACATGGCAAAACCCCATCTCTATTAAAAATACAAAAATTAGCCAGGCATGGTGGCTCACGCCTGTAGTCCCTGCTACTCAGGAGGGTGAGACAGGAGAATCGCTTGAACCCGAGTGGCAGAAGTTGCAGTGAGCAGAGATCACGCCACTGCACTGCTGCCTGGGCAACAGAGCGGGACTCTGTCTCAAAAAAAAAAAAAAAAAGAGTAAAGCCCGGACACACACTACAACATGAACAAACCTTGAAAACATGCTAACTGAAGAAGCCAGAGAGAAAAGGCTACATATTATGATTTTATTCATATGAAATGTCCCGAATAGACAAATCCATAGAAACCAAAAGTAGATTGGAGCTTTCTAGGGGTTGGCTGGGAGGAGTAAGAATGGGGAGTAACTGTTCACGGGTTCATGGAGTTCTTTTTTTTTTTTTTTTTTTTGAGATCAGGTCTCACTCTGTTGCCCAGGCTGGAGTGCAGTGGCACAATCAGGTCACTGCAGCCTTGACCTGCTGGACTCAGGTGATCCTCCCACCTCAACCTCCTAGGTAGCTATAGGTGCATGACACCACGCCCCACTAATTTTTGTATTTTTTTGTAGAGACGAGATTTTGCCCTGTTGTTCAGGCTGGTCTCAAACACCTCAGCTCAAGCGATCTGCCCATTTGGTCCAACTAAAGTGCTGGGATTACAGGGTTGAGCCACTGCACCTGGGCCAGAGTTTCTTTTTGGAGTGATGGAAATTTTCTAAAATTGATTGTGGTGATGGTTGTACAATTCTATGAATACACTAGAAACCAGTGAGTTGCACACTTTAAACAGGTAGATTGTATAGTACGTGAATTATATCTCAATAAAGCTGTTAGAGATATTAAATATGTATAAATAAGAAAAAATAGGAATGAAATAATATGCTATCATTTGAAAAAATGATAACATGTTATCTACTCTGGCAGGATATTCAAGAAACTTGGTAACAGCAATAGATGAGGTGGAAGAGGAGGCTAGGAAGAAGATTTAATTTTGGTATCATGTTCAAGTACTCCTATTCAAATAAGTTAAGTAACTCATTTTTTTTTAATTTGGAAAGCAGGTCTGGCGTGGTGGTTCATGCCTGTAATACCTGCACTTTGGGAGGCCGAGGCGGGTCATCACCTGAGGTCAGGAGTTTGAGACCAGCCTGACCAATATGATGAAACCCCGTCTCTACTAAAAATACAAAAATTAGCCGGGCGTGGTGGCATGCCCTTGTAATCCCAGCTACTCGGGAGGCTGAGACAGGAGAATCGCTTCAACCCGGGAGGCAAAGGTTGCAATGAGCCGAGATCGTGCCATCGCACTGCAGCCTGGGTGACAGAGCAAAACTCCGTCCAAAAAAAAAAAAATTGGAAAGCAATTTGGGCCTCGTTCCTGCGACCACAGCCCCAACCTGGGTCGGGGGTCCCAGTGACCTTACCCCTCCCTGCAGACCCCAGGACGGGCGGTCTTCAGGGCTAGGCGCCCTGGCTCTGCAAGGGCCCCAGTCTGGGGTTTGGCTCACCTGTGCCTCCGAAAACCACCACCAGTTTCTTGTCCACCATGAGGACGAGAATGGGACGAATCCGGTCCAGAGATCTGGGGGTAATGGGAGGCGTGGAGTTGGGGGTGGGGCCGGGGTTCCCGCCAGGAGCGACAAAGGACACCCCCATTGTCTATGCATCGAGTATGTGTCGAAGGGGGCGGCTGGGCCCGGAGCGGCAAGACGCCTGTCCCGAGATATCGGGGTCCCGCGACCCACCTCGTGTCCCTTGGGCCCGATCCCCTCCTCCTTCCCGCCTCCCCCGGTTCCAGTCACCCGCCCCCCGGCCCGGGTCCCACCGGCTGGAGTGACCTCCTCGCCGCGGCCTGGGCGGGACAAGTTCCAGGAGCCCGGGACCCCGATTCTGCGGCCGAGTCCACTGCAGAGGCGGGGATGGAGCTGCGCGCTAGGCGCCAACTCCCTCCCCGCAGCTCCGGCCCCACCTGGCAGAGCGCCGCTCACGGAAGCCCAGCGTCGGAGGACCCCTGGCTGCAGCCGCCAATCCCGACGTGTCGGCCGAAACCCCTCCTCCGGCGCAGTTGGCTCCTCCTGGATCCCGCGGGACTCGGCGTCGTTTCCGGGTTTGCCCGCCCCAGGCACGTGCACAGTGAGTTTGTGTAAATCCAGTTAGACCAAAATGAGCGAGGTGGAGAGCCTCTTAACCGGATGCTACGGGTGATGACTGGGAGGAGGAGAAAAATTACCTCTTTATCTTGCATGAACATCTTAATTTTCAGGTATTGGGCGTCAGGCAAAGATAATTAAAGCTATGTCCATGAGTCTTATCCCTTGAGGCCTTGTCCGCTTGATATTTTCTTTGCCTAACTCACTTTTAAAATTTTATTATTTTTATTTTTTTGAGACAGTGTCTTGGTCCGTCGCCCAGGCTGGTGTGCAGTGGCGCGATCTCGGCTTACTGCAACCTCCGCCCCCCGGGTTCAAGAGATTCTCCTGCCTCAGCCTCCCGAGTAGCTGGGATTACAAGCATGTGCCACCAAGCCCGGCTAATTTTTGTATTTTTTAGTAGAGACGGGGTTTCACCAGGTTGACCAGGCAGGTCTCGAACTCCTGACTTAAAGTGATCCACCCACCTCAGCCTCCCAAAGTGCTGGGAGTACAGGTGGGAGCCACCGTGCCCAGCCCTAACTCACTTCTGAAGTTGCTGCTACTTGCACTGATTTCAGTTTTTTTTTGTTTTTGTTTTTTGTTTTCAAGGTGGAGTCTTGCTCTGTGGCCCAGGCTGGAGTGCAGTGGTGGTGCGATCTTGGCTCACTGCAACTTCCGCCTCTTGGGTTCAAGTGATTCTCCTGCCTCAGTTTCCTGAGTAGCTGGGATTACAGGCAGGAGCCACCATGCCCGGCTAAAATTTTTTTGTATTTTTGGTAGAGACGGGGTTTCAACATGCTGGCCAGGCTGGTCTCGAACTGCTGACCTCAAGTGATCTTCCCGCCTCAGGCTCCCAAAGTGCTGGGATTACAGACATGAGCCACCACACCCGGCCCACGATTTCAGTAATTTCTTTGTGTTCAGTAAAACTAAAAAATGACTCTGGGCTGGGTGCGGTGGCCTGTAATTGCAGTGATTTGGGAGGCCGAGGCGGGTGGATCACCTGAGCTCAGGAGTTCGAGACCAGCCTGGCCAACATGGTGAAACCCCCGTCTCTACTAAAAATACAAAAATTAGCCGGGCGTGGTGGCAGGCGCTTGTAATCCCAGCTATTCGGGAGGTTAAGGCAGGAGAATCGCTTGAACCCGGGAGAAGGGGGTTGCAGTGAGCCGAGATCACGTCATTGCACTCCAGCCTGGGCGACGAGCAAAACTCGGTCTCAAAAAAAGAAAAATCATTCTGTCATTCTGGCCGCTGTTTGAAGAATGCGAATAATGCAACAGGGAGATCAGATACAAGACTGGTAACCGAGGTGTCAGAGTTGAGACTCAGTTTCGCAGATTGCATTGGCAAGTGACCAAGTGGGTGGTGCCACGGTTGACAACCCTATTTCTTACATCACTGAGTGGATGTACAAGGATTAAACCACACTGGGGAAGAAAAGTGCTCAACCCTGAGGCACCCTCACACACCTCGGCTCTTGTGAACACTAGTGTTCCTGCCGAAGCACGCCTACTTACCCCGCTGAGCAGAGCCTGAGCCTGCAACCTCCAGAGACCTGGGGAAAGCCACATACTCCGCTTCCCGCCCCCGGCAAGGGCGTGTCAGCTACAAGGGGCGTGTCATCTCTAGGCCCCGCCCCGCGCTGCGTGCCCACGTTGCGCCGGCCTCGCGCCAGTCCGCTGGGCTGCAGGGACTGCGGCGCCTGAGGGAGTCGCTGACGGGCACGCTGACTGGAGGCTGGCGGACAGGCGACAGCGACCTGCGGCAGGTGAGCTGTCCGCGCCCTCCCGGGGCCTTCCTTCCGCCCGGCTTCTCGGACCGCGCTGCGTCCTTCGCGGGCCCTGCCTCGGTCCAGGCCTTCGGACCTGGGCTTGGCCGGGCCACAGCCCTTTGGGTCCCCTGCGCCGGTCTGAGGGGAGACCCGGCCGGGGGCGGCCGGAAGCTGGGTGAGGCCGGGCAGAAGGACGAAGAAGGGCGTGGAGGGGCTGTCAGGGGAGGGCGAAACCGCGGACGCCGCTCTCCAGAAGTCGTCTCCCCGGGGGCGCGGGGAGGCCTGAATGGCTCTCTTTGGCGTCCCCGTTGGGCCCACCCTCTCCCAGCGTCACGGCTATGCTGGGCGAGGTGACCCCCGGGGTCGTAGCTGGGGGCGTCGGCGGTGCAGACAGGGGATGCCGGCAGAGATTGGAGCCCGGCTTGGCTGTTTCCCGGGCTGTTGGCATTGACCGGGGCTCTGCCCTTCCTCTAATGCCCTTATCTCTATAGGAAGTGCCCCTTGAGTGGGTGTCGTGACTTCACGAGTGAACCCTGGTACGCCCTGGAGCAGAGTCGGACTGGGAGGGATCAAGTGTGGGGGCAGCCGGTTAGTCCGGACGCGGGTTTACCTATTACTTTCTGAGCGCAGTGCTCTGGGTGGATTAATTGCCCTGCAAAAGCTGCCGGGACCTCCTTGCAGTCTTTGCACGAGGCCTGCCTGTGTCATGCCATTTAAATCGCGTCTGGGCCGGGTCGGTGGCTCACGCCTGTAATTCCAGCACTTTGGGAGGCCAGGGCGGGCGGATTGCTTGAGGTCAGGAGTCCGAGACCAGCCTGGCCAACATAGTGAAACCCCGTCTCTACTAAAAATACAAAAATCAGCCGGGCATGGTAACGTGAGCCTGTAGCTCCAGCTACTTAGGAGGCTGAGGCAGGAGAATCGCTTGAACCCGGGAGGCAGAGGTTGCAGTGAGCCGAGATCACGCCATTGCACTCCAGCCTGGGCGACAGAGCAAGACTCCATCTAAAAAAAAAAAAAAAAAAAAAAAAAATCGCTTCTGATGAGCCGGTTGTCGTGGCCTGTGGCTGTCCATCCTTACGTACTGTGTTTTGTTGATGGCGCTACAAACCAGACAAGGTGGAGTGTGATTGAAGAAAGAAACGCTGGCCGGTGCAGTGGCTCACTCCTGTAATCCCAGCACTTTGGGAGGCCGAGGCAGGCGGATCACCTGAGGTCAGGAGTTCGAGATCAGCCTGGCCAACATGGTGAAACCCCGTCTCTACTAAAAATACAAAAAAGTTAAACGGGCGGGGTGGCGCGTGTCTGTAATCCCAGCTACTGGGGAGTTTGAGGTTGGAGGATCACTTGAGCCCACGAAGTGGAGATTGCAGTGAGCTGAGATCGCATCACTGCACTCCAGCCTGGGTGACAGAGTGAGACCCTGTCTCAAAAAAGAAAAAAATAAATTATCACAAGACAAAATTTGTGCTTATCAGGAGTTCACAGTTAAGACATATATAAGCTTACTTGGTGAAATTAGAAAAAGTTATCAGATAAAACATTCAGGTTTAAACACTGGTGAGGGTGTGGGAATTTGTGGAGCCTTGGAAACACACTCATTGAATGACCTCATCTACCTGGGGATGTGAAGAGGGAAATCCTGTGATTCCTCCATTGTCTGACTTGATTTCCTTTTTTCCTTGGCTGTGGCAACATGTTGAAGTGCTGTGAGTCACCAAAAGGGGGAACGTGAGCAACTCTAGAAATGCCAGTGCCAGTGAGTTACAGACAATAAAGCATTGACCGCCTTTAGCTCACCCCTCATCAAGTCTGTTGAAAACTTGTAAAATTGGACAGCTAGAGCTACCTTGATTTTTTGGTTTCCTTTTAACAGCTGACTCTCTTCACAGGACAGTTGGGCTCTACATCAGGATTGCACCCAAAACTGGAATATCACTCCTCCAGGAGGAAGATATATTTGAAAATTAGAATTGTGGGCCCGGTGCAGTGGCTCATGCTTGTGATCCCAGCACTTTGGGAGGCCGAGATGGGCGGATCACCTGAGGTCGGGAGATAGAGACCAGCCTGACCAACATGGAAAAACCCCATCTCTACTAAGAAAAAAATAATAATAATACAAAAATTAGCTGGGCATGGTGGTGTGTGCCTGTAATCCGAGCTACTTGGGAGGCCGAGGCAGGAGAATCACTTGAACCTGGGAGGCAGAGGTTGCGATGAGCCAAGATTGTGCCACTGCATTCCAGCCTGGGCAACAGGAGCAAAACTGCATCTCAAAAAAAAAAAAAAGAAAGAAAGAAAATTAGAATTGTGTATTTCACTGTAAAATTTGAAATTCAGCTTTAACTCCTTGGAAAGGAAAGAGATGAAAAACTTGACCTAGACTGGGTGCGGTGGCTCACGCCTGTAATCCCAGCACTTTGGGAGACCAAGGCGGGTGGATCACCTGAGGTCAGGAGTTCGAGACCAGCCTGGCTAACATTGTGAAACCCCGTCTCTACTAAAAATACAAAAATTAGCCTTGCAAAAAGTAGCCTGTAATCCCAGCTACTCGGGAGGCTGAGCAAGGAGAATTGCTTGAACCTGGGAGGCAGAGGTTTCAGTGAGCCAAGATCATGCCATTGCACTCCAGCCTGGGCGACAAGAGCAAAACTTCATCTCAAAGAAAAAAAAATTCTATCAGAGTGAACAATAAGTAGGATGCTAGCACATACCTGTAATCTCAGCTACTTGGGAGGCTGAGGCAGGAAGTTAATACTTGATGAGCCTAAGTTTTTGGTGTCTTTGGATGCTGCTTGTCGATCTAAGGGGTTTCCAAACGCTTCTTTTTTGGTAAAATTGGGATTATGACTAGGAATCTGTTTTTTGGAGTTTCCCAGGTGATCCTTGTTTGGGGTCCTTGTCTAAGGCACAGGCTGGAAAGAGGAGGGAGTGGACTGGCAGGGAAGATAGAGCAGTAAGCGAATAGAATACCTGGGGAAAGGGACGCCAGAAGAGTGATTGTTGTCTGGTGAACTGTGCTGTCAGTGTGTATGTCAGAAGCCAACAAAGTGGATATTCTCTTCACTCAGCTTAGGGAAAAAATTAATTTTTGTTTCACAGATAGATTCGTTTCCTTCCCAGGAGTATTATAGGCCTAATTACTGTCATAGTTCTCAGTAACTTTAAAAAGGCTGTGGGGAAGAATGGCATAACAGACTAGTATCTTGTACCCAGCCTGCCTTTTTCTTATTCTATTTTTTTTTTTTTTTTTTTTTTTTTTTTTTTTGAGACAGTCTTGCTCTGTCACCCAGGCTGGAGTGTGGTGGCACAATCTCAGCTCACTGCAACCTCCGCCTCCTGGGTTCAAGCGATTCTCCAGCCTCAGTCTCCTGAGTAGCTGGGATTACAGGCGTATGCCACCATGCCTGGCTAATTTTTGTATTTTTAGTAGAGATGAGGTTTCACTATGTTGGCCGGGCTGGTCTCCTACTCCTGACCTCAGGTGATCCGTCCACCTTGGCCTCCCAAAGTGCTGGGGTTATAGGCATGAGTCGCTGCGCCCGGCTTTTTTATTTTTTATTTTTTATTTTTTTGAAACAGAGTCTGGCTCTTTCACCCAGGCTGGAGTACAGTGATCTGATCTGAGCTCACTGCAATCTCTGCCTCTGGGGTTCAAGCAGTTCTCCTGCCTCAGCCTTCCAAGTAACTGGGACTACAGGCATGCACCACCATGCCTGGCTAATTTTTGTACTTTTGGTAGAGATGGGGTTTCGCCATGTTGGCCACGCTGGTCTCCAGCTCCTGACCTCAAGCGAACCACCCTCCTTGGCCTCCCAAAGTGCTAGTATTACAGGCGTGAGCCACAGCACCCGGCCTTTTTTTTTTTTTTTTCCTTAGAGTCTTGCTCTGTCACCAGGGCTGGAGTGCAGTGGCGCCGTCTCGGCTCACTGCAACCTCTGCCTCCTGGGTTCAAGTGATTCTCCTTCCTCAGCCTCCCTAGTAGCTGGGATTACAGGTGTGTGCCACCACACCCAGTTAATTTTTGTATTTTTAGTAGAGACGGGGTTTCACCATGCTGGCCAGGCTGGTCTCAAACTCCTGACCTCAAGTGGTCCACCCACTTTGGCCTCCCAATTAGAATTAGAGGTGGAGCGACCGTGCCCGGCTAAGGGCCTACTATTTTTTTTTTTTTTTTTTGAGACAGAGTTTCACTCTTGTCACCCAGGCTGGAGTGCAGTGGTGTGACCTTGGTTCACTGCAACTTCCACCTCCCAGGTTTAAGCGATTCTCCTGCCTCAGCCTCTGGAGAAGCTGGGATTATAGGCGTCTGCCACCACGCCTGGCTAATTTTTTGTATTTTTAGTAGAGACGGGGTTTCACCATGTTAGTCAGGCTGGTCTCAAACTTCTGATGTCAGGTGATCCACCTACCTCGGCCTCCCAAAGCATTGGGATTACAGGCGTGAGCCACCGCGCCCGGCCAGGCCTCGTATTTTTGCTTTTGCTCATGTTTTCATGTCTGAGATAGAGGGCCTACTATTAAAGCACTGTGCTGAGGCTGCAAGAAGGTACTAGTGTGATTAAAACAATCTGGTCCGGGCGCGGTGGCTCGCACCTGTAATCCCAGCACTTTGGGAGGCGGAGGCGGGCGGATCACGAGGTCAGGAGATCGAGACCATGCTGGCTAACACGGTGAAACCCCGTCTCTACTAAAAAATACAAAAAAAATTAGCCGGGCATGGTGGCGGGCGCCTGTAGTCCCGGCTACTCGGGAGGCTGAGGCAGGAGAATGGCGGGAACCCGGGAGGCGGAGCTTGCAGTAAGCAGAGATCGCGCCACTGCGCTCCAGCCTGGGAGACAGAGCGAGACTCCGTCTCAAAAAAAAAAAAAAAAAGAAAAAAATAAAACAATCTGGCATTATAATGCCATCCTGATTTTAGTTAATCTAGTTGACTGGCTGGCCTCATAAGTAGCTGTGATGATCATAATTTTTATGCGAAACACCTGTCATTGAGCATACAGGTGTACTGAAAGAATTGGGTGGAACAGGGTATTTGAAATCAGAATTGTTCTGGAAAGTCGGGTACATAAAGCTCTATCTTTAGCACAGTTGTCTGTATTGCACAATTAATATTTATAGAATGGTACACCTTATGTTATCTTTTTATTTTTCCACCTAACTCTCTCTCTAGATTGAAAGGTACTTGACGTGCAGAGCAAGATCTTATCTTTCTTTGTAGTCACAGTACTCAAGAGGGTGATAAATGTTTGTTGATGATAATGTAATGTCACCTGTCCAAGTGTAGCCATCATCTTCAGTAGTTACTTGATCTGCTGTTGTGTCTGGCAAGACTGCTATGTGCTGCTGCAGAGGAGCCATTGTCACCTTGAACTATCTCTGTGGCAGTCTGGAGGAGGGCAGGAGGGAGAAGGGAAGGAATAAATGAGCAAAGCTGAGTGTGGATAGTAGTGTTTGACGGCAGATGAAAAAGCAAACTTGGTGAAGTGTGGCCTGGGTGGTCATCTAACTTCTACCTAGAAGACATTAAACCTTTACTCTCTTCTTTTTATGTAGGAAGGCAGAGGGAAAGTCAGGCCTTCGGTTGGCTTGGTAATAGCAGGTATCCCAGTAATTAGAAAATAACTTAAAAAACTCCATTCCTCTACCATATACTTGAGAATTTGTCAATCTCAGCAAAATTTTCAAATGTCTGTGTTCAGTGTCATATTTGTCCTGCTCTGTAAGACTTTTTGTGTTTATAAAAAGGCAAGTGGACCCAGAAGGGGAAAAATATGCTGTTCTGAGAAACTAGCTGCTGTAGGTTATGCTTTTCTGTCTTTGCTTGTGGCTCTTCTGGTTATTTGAGAAAGGCAAAAAAACCCAAAGTCTTTTTTCTACTCTGTTCCCACAGTCACTCAACACAACACTTCTGATACCAGATATATGGGAGTTGTTTCCCCATACACCAAGCAATTCTCTAGTAGACACACCGGTGCGGTGTCCTCTAAGTCAGTTAAATTCTGATACTCTATCTGGAGATAGCGTCAGATCCCACCAATTGAGGGCTCAGTCCCACAAAACTGTCCCAACTTGAGGCACTAGTCACAAGTAGTAAATTGTCACCTATACTTCTGACCTACTAGCTATAAATCGAAAGTTCTGACAATCCCTCCTCGAGTTTGATTAATCTGCTAGAGTGGGTCACAGAACTCAGGAAAACACTTTACTTACATTTACCAATTTACTCTAAAGGATATTAAGAAGGATACAGATGGCTGGGCGTGCTGGTTCATGCCTGTAATCCCAGCACTTTGGGAGGCCAAGGAGGGCAGATCACCTGAGGTCAGGAGTTTGAGACCAGCCTGACCAATGTGGTGAAACCCCATTTCTAGTAAAAATACAAAAAAATTAGCCGGGTGTGGTCGTGCATGCCTGTAGTCCCAGCCACTAGGGAGGCTGAGGCAGGAAAATCGCTTGGACCCTGGGGGCAGATGTTGCAGTGAAATGAGATCACGCCACCGCACTCCATCCAGCCTGGGCGACAGACTGGAAGAAAAAAAAAGGATACAGATGAATAGCCAGATGGAAGAGATGTATAGGGTGAGGCATGTAGGAAGAGGCATGAAGCTTCTACGCCCTCTCTGGAACTTTCGTGTATTCAGCTATCCTGAAGCTAATGCAAACCCTGGTGTGTGTGTGTGTGTGTGTGTGTGTGTGTGTGTGTGTGTGTGTGTGTGTGTGTGTGTGTGTGTTTATGGAGGCTTCATTACAAAGGCATAATTGAATACGTTATTGGCCACTGGTGATCAACTCAACCTTTAGACCTTCTCCCGTCCCCTGAGGTTAAGGGGGTAGGGCTGAAAGTTCCCACCCTCTAATCACATGGTTGGTTCCCCAGGCAATCAGCCCCCATCTAGGAGCCCACCAAGAGTTACTTACTTACAACAAAAGATGCTCCTATTACCCAGGAAATTCCAAGGGATTTAGGAAATTACAAAAGTTTTAGGAGCTCTGTGTCAGGAACTGAGGTTAAAGACCAATATCAGAATGAAGGATTCTCCTAGTGCCCCCATCTACAAAGGTTTTAGGAGCTCTGTGCCAGGAACCTAGGGTGCAGATCAAATATATCTATAAATCTTTTTGTTTGTTTGTGTTTTGAGACAGAGTCTTGCTGCGACACCCAGGCTGGAGTGCAATGGCGCTATCTCGGCTCACTGCAACCTCCGCTTCCCGGATTCAAGCGATTCTCCTGCCTCAGCCTCCCGAGTAGGTGGGACTACAGGTGTGCGCCACTATACCTGGTTAATTTTTGTATTTTTAGTAGAGACGGGGTTTCACCATATTAACCAGGCTGGTCTTGAACTCCTGACCTCAAGTGATCTGCCCACCTCAGCCTCCTGAAGTGCTGGGATTACAGGCATGAGCCGCTGCATCCAGCCTCAAATTTATCTCTGTATCTTCTTCTAAATTACAGTATCACACCCGTGCATATGCCCAAAAATTTTTTTTTTTTTTTTTTTGAGACGGAGTCTTGCTCTGTCGCCCAGGCTGGAGTGCAGTGGTGCGATCTCGGCTCACTGCAGGCTCCGCCTCCCAGGTTCACGCCATTCTCCTGCCTCAGCCTCCCGAGTAGCTGGGACTACAGGCTCCCGCCACCATGCCCGGCTAATTTTTTGTATTTTTAGTAGAGACGGGGTTTCACCGTGTTAGCCAAGATGGTCTCAATCTCCTGACCTCATGATCCACCCACCTTGGCCTCCCAAAGTGCTGGGATTACAGGCGTGAGCCACTGCACCCGGCCTCATATGCCCAAATTTTAAAGGAGGCACCACATTCAAGTCCAAATGCCTAAAGGTAGAAGGATCAAGAAACAGTAGTATGAGGCCATTTGAGAAGTATATATAGTTATCCCTCAGTATCTGTGGAGATTAGTTCCAGGACCCCTCAAGGGTACCAAGATCCAGGATGCTCAAGTTTCTTTTCTTTTCTTTTTTTTTTTTTTTTTTGAGACGGAGTCTTGCACTGTCACCCAGGCTGGAGTGCAGTGGTACGATTTCGGCTCACTGCAATCTCCACCTCCCGGGTTCAAATGATTCTCCTGCCTCAGCCTCCCGAGTAGCTGGGATTACAGGTGTGCACCACCACGCCTGGCTGATTTTTGTATTTTTAGTAGAGGTGAGGTTTCACCATATTGGCCAGGCTGGTCTCGAACTCCTGACTTCAGGTGAGCCGCCTGCCGCGGGCTCCCAAAGTGCTGGTATTACAGGCATGAGCCACTGTGCCCAGCTTAAGTTTCTTATATAAAATGGTGTATAGAATTTGCATATAACCTATGCATATCTTCTGTATTCTTTAAATCATCTGTATTTATAATACCCAATACAGTGCTATGTAAATAGTTGTTATACTGTATCGTTTAGGTAATCATGACAAGAAAAAAAATCTGTACATGTGTAGTACATATGTAGCCATCTGTTGTTTTTTTTTTCCCTGAAGATTGATTGGTTGATTGAGACGGCATCTCACTCTGTCACCGAGGCTGGAGTGCAGTGGCGCAGTCTTGGCTCACTGCAACCTCCACCTCCTGGGTTCAAGCGATTCTCTTGCCTTAGCCTCCCGAGTAGCTGGGATTACAGGTGCCTGCCACAACCCCCGGCTAATTTTTATATTTTTAGCAGATTCCGGGTTTCACCATGTTGGCCAGGCTGATCTCGAACTCCTGACCTTAAGTGATTCACCCACCTCCACGTCCCAAAGTGCTATGATTACAGGGGTGAGCCACCATGTCAGGCCTTTTTCTGAATATTTTTAATCTGAGGTTGGTTGAATCCACTGATGCAGAGCCCATGGATATGGAGGGCTGACTGTACTGTATTGAGCTTCTAAGGTATGCAGAGTATTGGCACTGAGGGGATGTGCAAATACAACAACAAACCAAGCATAGTCTTTGTTTACTAGGAGCTGGTAGTAACTGTGGGAAGACACAAAACAGTAAAATCACTTTGTAAGGTTTATGAGAGTTTTGAGAGGCCAGGGAAGTTAAAGAGTGGAGAAATGGAGAAAATGGGAGAACTTGTACTGAACCCATTAGGACAGAGGAGGAAGGGAAGAGAAGGAAGGAGGCCAAAGAAAGAAGAAACCCTTCTTAGAGCACTCAGGGTCTTACTGAAAACTTTACCCATAAAAAGAGAATGTCACTGATAGACTCCTTTTAGAACAGGGATTGATTTTTTTGTTTTTGTTTTTGTTTTTATTTTTGTTTTTGTTTTTGAGAGAAGTCTCGCTCTTGTCCCCCAGGCTTGAGTGCAATGGCTTGATCTCGGCTCACTGCAACCTCTGCCTCCCGGGTTCAAACAATTCTCCTACCTCTGCCTCCCAGGTAGCTGGGATTAAGGCACCTGCCACCACGCCCGGCTAATTTTTGCATTTTTAGTAGAGACAAGGTTTCACCATGTTGGCCAGGCTGGTCTCGAACTCCTGACCTCAGGTGATCCACCCACCTCAGCCTCCCAAAGTGCTGGGATTACAGGCTTGAGCCACCATGCCTGGCCACAGGCAACATTTTTAAACCATACGATTGTCCTGGAGAGAGAATCTGAAGCCTTGCTCTGATTCTGAAAGGGATTTGCAACCAAAAAAGGATAAGGATTGTTCTGACAAGTACCCTTTCTTCCCATCTTCAAAAGTACACATCTCTTAATTTGTGTCTTCAAACACAAATTGTGTTCAAAAAAGGAAGTATTTGAGTAGATTAAAGACAGAAACCCTAGGACATTCCTTTGTAAACAAACAGCCTTTTACCAAACACCAACTGTCAAGGGACTTGCCTGAGTACTTGTCCAAAGGACAGCGTGTCCCCATGTGTAGGCAGTGGTCTAATCTGGTTCCTAGGAGAGGACTGCTGAGGCCACAGCAACTTAACTGGCTAGTGTGGGTGAGGCAGAAGTGTTTGAAGCTCAAGGTCTGTCAAGGACAGCTGATTAGAGTATGTCTGTCCCTAATACAGGGTTAGAGCTCAGTACCAATGCTGGGGATGAGGTGAGTTGAAGACACAGAAACTACATGGTTTTTTGGAAGGTCACGAACTTTTCAAGGAACTAGTGGGCAACTGGAAATGATATGTGAAAGAGTAGAGGGAGCTCTGGCCTAGCTGCCAGAAAACTCTGGGCAGGTCAGGTCTGGGAACAGTGGCTAATCCAGGCCCAGCTTCCCACTGTTGATTTGGACATACAGGCCTAAGATAAGAGACCGTGCCCAGAGCCACTGGTCACTTAGCACAGGTAGTGGGAAATGGTAGCCAGCAAATGTTTAATTGAATATCTTATGTCTCCTAGACCACAGCTGAGCAAACTAGGCCAAGCTCAAGGTCCTGAGGGGAATGAGGAGCTGAGCTCAGTCCCTTTTGGCCCCCTTTCTCTTTCCCTCCTCATTTTAAGTATGGAAGCTCACTTATTTCCTTTTTGTATTGGCCATTTGTGTAGGGTTTTGTTTGAAAAAGGGCTTGAGGCTGGGCGTGGTGGCCCACGCCTGTAATCCCAGTACTTTGGGAGGCCAAAGAAAGATTGCTTGAGCCCAGGAGTTCGAGACCAACCTGGGCAACATAGTGAGACCCTGTCTCTACAAAAAAATTTTTAAAATTAGCTAGACATGGTAGTGAATGCCTGTAGTCTCAGCTGCTCGAGAGGCTAAGTTGGAAGTATCACCTGAGCCCAGGAGTTGAGGCTGCAGTGAGCTCTGATTGACCCAGTGCACTTCAGCTTGAGCAACACAGCAAGACCCTGTCTCAAAAAAAAAAAAGAAGTTGGGCACAGTGGCTCAGGCCTGTAATCCCAGCACTTTGGGAAGCCTAGGTGGGCGGATCACCTGAGATCAGGAGTTTGAGACCAGCCTGACCTCTAAAACTACAAAATTAGCCAGGCGTAGCCCAGCGGCTCATACCTGTAATCCCGGCACTTTGGGAGGCCGAGGCGGGCGGATCACCTGAGGTTGGGAGTTTGAGACCAGCCTGACCAACATGGAGAAACCCCATGTCTACTAAAAATATAAAATTGCTGGGCGCAGTGGCTCACACCTGTAATCCCAGCACGTTGGGAGGCCGAGGCGGGTGGATCACAAGGTCAGGAGATCGAGACCATCCTGTGAATGGCGAAACCCCGTCTCCACTAAAAATACAAAAAATTAGCTGGGCGTGGTGGCTGGCGCCTGTAGTCCCAGCTCCTTGGGAGGCTGAGGTGGGAGAATGGCGTGAACCCGGGAGGCGGAGGTTGCAGTGAGCTGAGAACACCAGCCTGGGAGACAGAGCGAGACTCCGTCTCAAAAAAAAAAAAAATTAGCCGGGCGCGGTGGCATATGCCTGTAATCCCAGCTACTCGGGAGGCAGAGGCAGGAGAACTGCTTGAACCCGGGAGGCGGAGGTTGCGGCGAGGGGAGATCACGCCATTGCATGCCAGCCTTGGCAACAAGAGCGAAACTCTGTCTCAAAAAAAAAAAAAAAAAAAAATGTAGCCGGGTGTGGTTTTGCATGCCTGTAATCCTAGCTACTCAGGAGGCTGAGGCAGGAGAATCACTTGAACCCGGGAGGCAGAGGTTGCAGTGAGCTCAGACCGTGCCATTGCACTCCATTGTTTCGCTGCAACGAGAGGGAAACTCCATCTCAAAAAAAAAAAAAAAAAAAACAGGCTTGAGTATACCTCTCACAGCCCTGGAGAATGCCTGAGCTGTTGGACAGTTGCCTTTTCCATTATGTCTGCTTTTTTCTAAAGCTATTCATTCATTGTTGCCTAATCATGTCCTCAGTCAGTAGTTGATGTTCTGGGCTATTTGAATTTCCTCTGAATAATGATTAATGGAGATAATGATGTTTGACCAGTTCTGGGAACTCTTGGGAATTAAAGGAATTAAACTCTTGGACATTAAACTTCACTTTAATGTGTATAGTTGTGGGTGCTGCCCCATTGGAGAAGATTGTGACAGGAAGTTACACAGTTTTACAGCAAACTGCTGGGATTTTTTATTTTTTTTTCAGTAAATTATGATAACTGTAGCATTTTCCTTTGCAATAATGATAACCTAAGGCCTTGGTGTTTCCTCTAAAATGTACATAGATACAGGATGTGGGTTTGTTACAAAGTTGTATAACTATTGCCTTTTTGTGGCTGACCCCTTCCCTAGAGAACAACATGAAGAGACCTTGCTGCTGCTATGAAACCCAGACTCTAAGGACAACTTGGGGGACATTGGATATTTTTTCACAGATGTAGACATCAAGGAGTCAGTGGTTTGTGTATGCGTTGAGTGGAGAAGGCTGGCAAGCATTTGCTACCATGACTGTTAAAAATGTGCCTGTACATTTCTTTTTTTTTTTTTTTTTGAGACAGGATCTCACTCTGTCACCCAGGCTGGAGTGCAGTGGTGTGTTTTTGGCTCAGTACAACCTCCACCATTGTGGGCTCAAGCAATCCTCCTGCCTAGGACTCCTGAGTAGCTGGGATGACAGGCATGTGCCACCACGCCCAGCTAATTTTTGTAGTTTTTTTGTAGAGACAGGGTTTTTGCCTTGTTGCCCAGGCTGGTATACATTTCTTTATATAAGGAGGGGGCAAGTAACACAGTGTTATGCTACCAATCAGGCTTTCAGAGACCATAAAACAAAATCTAAAAGGTACGCTCTTAGTAGTCATATCTGTGGAATGTAAGGAAGCCAGTTTAAGACCAATGTAATGCAGCATTTTCCCTTCACACATGAAACAGTGAGTTACTCGAGCACAAAGCATCAAATGCTTATTCCCCCCACAAGGCCATTCTTATCTTTCACCAAGTGTTTAGTCACTAGGCAGCCATCATCCTCCCTCCCTCTCTCCCTTCCTCCCTTACTTTCTTCCTTTCTTCCTTTTGCAGTGGCACAGTCATGGGCTCAAGTGATCCGCCTCAGCCTCGCGAGTAGCTGGGACCACAAGCACTCACCACCACATCCAGCTAGTTTTATTTTATTTTTAAAAATTTTTTGAAACAGAGTCCTGCTGTGTCACATAGGCTGGAGTGCAGTGGCACGGTCTTGGCTCACTGCAGCCGCCACCCCCAGGGTCAAGTGATACTCCTACCTCAGCCTCCCAGGTAGCTGGGACTACAGGCATGTGCCACCATGCTTGGCTAAGTTTTGTATTTTTTGTAGAGATGGGGTTTCACCATGTTGCCCAGGCTGGTCTGGAACTCCTGTACTCAAGCTATCCACCTGCCTTGGCCTCCCAAGGCGCTGGGATTACAGGTGTGAGCCATTGCGCCGAGCCTCATCCAGCTAATTTTATAATTTTTGGGGGGAGGTAGCAACAGAGATCTCCATATGTTACCCAGGCTGGTCTGAAACTCCTGGCCTCAGTGATCCTCCTGCCTCAGCCTCCCAAAGTGTTGGGATTACAGGCGTGAGCCACCGCGCCCAGCCCATTATTCTTATATCTGAGATTCACCTTTAATTGCCCTCTGTCATCAGCACTTTGAGAATGCCTCAATTTTGAGAATACCTTGTATTCTGGAAATCATTCATTCAGTCAACAAACCCTGACTGGTGTGTAATTGGGCAGTAGGAGGCCAAGATAAATGACCTGTAATCTGGAAAACAAACATATAAACATACACATACCATAACGAGATATGAGTGCTAGGATGGATCACAAAAGGCTTACTTAGGTAGCTCTGAATATAATATCAGGCCTACAATATTATCACTTATGTTGTTTTTTGGATCTTATTTTTAGAAACAGCACAAGCTTTTTCTTGGAGGAAATATAGCAAGGAAGAGGGGAGCTGTTCTGACTGAAGCAGGGTATGGGAGGCCCACAGCCTTTCCTGCTTTGCCTCCTGTTCAAAGCCATCCTCCCTGCAGTTCACTGAGAAATGACTCCTTGGAGCTCCAAGGAAGTCCTACAGCTAGCTAGTAGCAGACCTGGTAGTAGAAGTTAGTTCTTCTGATTCTTAGCTTTCTTAGCAGTCAGGTACCAGACTGATAAACGAAAATCAAATTTCTCCCAGTTATATGTTCCATCCCACAAAGAAGTAATAAACACATTTCTGTCAGGGGCTTCAGCCTGCCTGGATTTGTTACTGGGTTTGTTTTAAATGTTTAGCTTCCAGGCATCCAAATACATACAAAAAAGGTCTATTCCCAGGAACATACTGTAACCCTTTTCATTGTCATTTGTGGGCAGTGCCAAGCTGCCTCTAATAGCTTCTTCTGTTTTTTTGGTGGAAATTCAGTTTCCTCAGAAATCTATATAAGGGATATTTGATAAAGGTGACTAACAATCTCGTCTCTGTAAATTGATGAAGGGATGAGAGGGGTATTAGACTCATGTCCTCTTTTGAATGCACACTGCTTTTGTGGTCCGGCAGGGTTTCTCAGCGTTAGTGCTGTTGACATTTTGGGCTAGATTGTTTGTGGTGGTGGGGTATGTGTGTGTGTGTGTGCGTGCGTGCAAGCACATTTGTGCGCTATAGGACATTGAGTAGTATCCCTGACCTCTACCCACTATTGTCAGTAGCACACTCCCGTCTTTCAGTTGTGACAACTAAATATGTCTGCAAACATTTCCACGTCTCCAAACATGTTCCTTGGGGGACAAGTTGGCCCCCAGTGGAGAAACACTGGATTGGAGATTGGTTGTCATGTGATAAAAATGCAAATCAGATTTGTCACAGGACAAAGTAAATTTTCAGTTACCTAATTAAACCTTTACTTTTTATAAGTCGCTCTAAAGAAACAAAAGTGTGTCCTGTCTTCCATCCTGATTCTCGGTTACTGGAGGGCCCTTCACCTAAGTCATGTTCAGGATCTCCTTGAAGGAGTTAAACTAAAACAATACAATATCTTCCCTTAGGTCTTTTGCAGAATTTATTTTGCTAGGCCGGGCACTATGGCCCACTCCTGTAATCCTGGCACTTTGGGAGGCCAAGGCGGCTGGATCACTTGAGTTCAGGAGTTCAACACTCGCCTGGGCAACATGGTGAAACCCCATCTCTACAAAAAATACCAAAAAATTAGCTGGGCATGGTGTTGCATGCCTGTAGTCCCAGGTACTTGGGGGGCTGAGGTGGGAGGATCACTTGAGCTCAGGAGGTCAAGGCTGCAGTGGGCCGAGATTATGCCACTGCGCTCCAGCCTGGGTGACAAAGTGAGACTCTGTCTCAAAAAATATATATATTTTGCTAGAAATCCCAAGATTTTTCTCTCTTTTCTTTTTGTTTATTTTCTTTCTTTTTTTGAGATGGAATCTCACTCTGTCACTCAGGCTGGAGTGCTGTGGCATGATCTCGGCTCACTGCAACCTCCACCTCCCAGGTTCTGAGAAGCTAGGACTATAGGCGCATGCCATCACATCTGGCTAGTTTTTGTATTTTTAGTAGACGCAGGGTTTTACCATATTTGCCAGGCTGGTCTCGAGCTCCTGACCTTGTGATTCACCTGCCTTGGCCTCCCAAAGTACTGAGATTACAGGTGTGAGCCACTGTGCCTAACCCCCATATACTTTCAAACAAAAAATGGAAATATCACTGTCTCCATGAAAAGCCATACAGGCAGCATCAAAACTACACTAGGGGCCAGGTGTGGTGCCTCCTGACTGTAATCCCAACAATGGGAGGGTGATAGGATTCCTTGAGGCTAGGAGTTCGAGACCAGCCTGGGCAATATAGTGAGACCCTATGTCTACAAAATACTTTTTAAAATTAGCATAGTGGTGCGCACATGTAGTCCTAGCTACTTGGAAGGATGAATTGGGAGGATCGCCTGATCCCAGGAGGTAGAGACTGCAGTGAGCTAATATCTCACCACTGCACTCCAGACACAGTAAAACCCTGTCTCTAAAAAAAAAAAATTAAATAAATAAATAAATGGTTTACACTGAGGGTCACAGACTTTGAGTTGAGGTTCGTCATGAAGAATCTCCATTTTCATTCTAATAGCACTAGATACAGGCTGGGTGTGGTGGCTCACAGCTATAATCCCAGCACTTTGGGAGGCCGAGGTGGGCAGATCACGAGGTCAAGAGATCGAGACCATCCTGGCGAACATGCTGAAACCCCATCTCTACTAAAAATACAAAAAATTAGCTGGATGTGGTGGCACGTGCCTGTAATCCCTACTACTCGGGAGTCTGAGGCAGGAAAATCCCTTGAACCCAGGAGGCAGAGATTGCGGTGATCCAAGATCACGCCACTGCACTCCAGCCTGGCGACAGAGTGAGACTCTGTCTCAAAAACAAAACAACAACAACAACAAAAAACACAAAAAAGGCTGGGCACAGTGGCTCACCTTGTAATTCCAACACTTTGGGAGGCCGAGGCGGGCGGATCACTTGAGGTCAGCAGTTTGAGACCAGCCTGGGCAACATGGGAATACCCTGGCTCTACTAAAAATACAAAAATTAATTGGGTGTGTTGGCACATGCCTGTAGCCCCAGCTACTCAGAAGGCTGAGGCACAGGAATTGCTTGAACCCAGGAGTGGGGAGAAAAAGGAAATATTAGGGGACATTTGTTAAGTTTATATTTTTTTCTTTTCTCTTCTTTTTCCTCTTTTTTTGAGACAGAGTCTCGCTCTGTGGCCCAGGCTGGAAGCTGGAATTCAGTAGTTCAGTCATAGCTCACTGCCGCCTTTACCTCCTAGGCTCAAGTGATCTTCCCACCTAAGCCTCCTAAGTGGATGTGACCACAACTGCATGCCACTCCCTCCACCCCCGTCTGCCTACCAGCTAATTCAAAAAAATTTTTTTTTGTAGAGATGGGGTCTCCCTGTGTTGCCCAGGTCAGTCTCAAACTCCTAGGCTCAAGCAATCCTCCTGCCTTGGCTTCTCAAAGTGCTGGGATTACAGACATGAGCCACTGGGCTCAGCCATTAATTTTAAATTGCAAGTGACATATTCTTTAGTTTATTAATCAGCACCATATGATGTCACAGTTTTATAACTCATTTATCTCATTTAATTCTCATACCCACCTTGTGGAATTGTTATCACTGTCCTTTACAGATGAAGAAAGAAACTCCAAGAAATTAAGTAGCTGGCCCAAGTCCACCCAACTGGGATGGGCAGAACCAGGGTTTGCTCTTGGTTGTGCCTTTCTACAGCCTGTGCCTTAACCACATCTATGTGCTGCCTCTTGGCCTCTGTGTGGCCAGTAGATTCTCTCATGGCTAGGCTCATCTTAATTAACATTTGTTGGGTGCCTACTATGGCTCAGGCTCTAGAGATCATTGTAAAATCCAGTCCACTGCCCCAGCTCCTCGTGTGTCTTTTGAACACATTAGTATTGTGCTGTGCAGAAAGGACTTCTGTGCATATGCCTGCTATTACACTTGTTGAACCCAATTTCTACAAACTTTCATTCAGATGGAGGGATTCAGTCTTCTTATCATATAATACATACAGAAATACAAATATTTAAATATTTATCTAAATTAATAGTCACATATGCCATTTATACAGTTAGTGAGTTACAGCCAAGTGACAGTTGTGATGGGAGGCTGTGTCTGGGGAGTTACATACTGGTGAGGAAACTAGAAAACATGGCTGTCGGGCCGGCACTGTGGCTCACGCCTGTAATCCCAGCACTTTGGGAGGCCGAGGCGGGTGGATCACGAGGTCAGGAGATCGAGACCATCCTGGCTAACACGGTGAAACCCCGTATCTACTAAAAATACAAAAAATTAGCGGGGCGTGGTGGTGGGCGCCTGTAGTCTCAGCTACTCAGGAGGCTGAGGCAGGAGAATGGCATGAACCCGGGAGGTGGAGCTTGCAGTGAGCCGAGATAGCACCACTGCACTCCAGTCTGGGCGACAGAGTGAGACTCTGCCACAAAAAAAAAAAAAAAGAAAACAAGGCTATGAAAATTTAACACATTGACTGGGCAGGGTAATGCATGGTGATCTGTTTTCTCTTCGCTCCAATCCTGAAAGGTTTCTTTGAAGAGCTGGAGTGTCTAGAAAGCTTTCCTAGAAAGCTAGTGTACATTTTGCTAAGTAATCACTGTGTCACTTAGATTTTCTGCTCTTTAAGTGTGGTTATGAGATGTGTTCCAAACAATTTGTTACTAACCATGAAGTTGATGAATGCTTTGCCTTTAAAAAAATAAGTTTGGGTGGGGTGCAGTGGCTCATGCTTGTATTCCCAGCATTTTGGGAGGCTGAGGCAGGCAGATCGCTTGAGTCCAGGAGTTTGAGACCAGCCTGGACAACATGGTGAAACCCTGTCTTTACTAAAAATACAAAAATTAGCCAGGTGTGGTGGCGTGTGCCTGTAGTCCCAGCTGCTTTGGGGGCTGAAGCAGGAGGATCACTTGAGCCTGGGAAATCCAGGCTGCAGTGAGCTATGATCACACCACTGCACTCCAGCCTGCGTGAAAAAGTGAGACTGTCTAAAAAAAAAAAGTTTGGCCAGGCATGGTGGTTCATACCTGTAATCACAGCACTTTGGGAGGCCAAAGTGGGAGGATTGTTGAGGCTAGGAGGTCAAGACCAGTCTCGGTTTGATTGGGTTAAACATTATCCCTGTAAGTTGGCTCTCATTCTGAGAAGTTGTTTAGAGTAGAAGAGAGGGCTGCATTTACAGCTAATTGCTAGTAATTTCACATCATCTGCAATATATTTTCTGGACACTCTGCCCGACTAGTCCTATGGGACGTTGTCATTCATGTGCAAATCAGGCCCTATATACTAAGGGAGGAAAACAGTTGAGGACCTCCTTTTTTTAGGCACTCTTGGTGCCTTGTGCATTAAGATAGTGAGTCAGAGGATAAGAAGGAAGCAGATTCCATTCCCCTTACCACTCTTTGGGTGTAGGCAGGGCCTGCTGGTAGTGCTGGGAAAGCCGACCATCCTTCTTTGAGCAAGTCCAATAGCTGCTGCTGCTAGTTCTGTCCCACCATAGGCACAGTCTATGTAGGATGAGCCAACCATATGTGGAGTTACTGGTTCTTGGTCTGGGCTTGTTCCTTTCCCCAATTTCAGTCCCCACCAGAATCTGGGCAGTCATTGTGAAGAAGCCTAGGAATAATACCTTACTCTATAGGCCTGTGGAAACGTGTAAAGATACCTTGCAGGCCCAGAGTGAGAAATTGGAGCCACCTTGTTCGATTGACCAAAGGCTTGTCCTATGGAGTTACTAATTTTACAGGAAGTTTATGTTAACATACTTTCTATCCATTGCACTACCATTTCTGAGGCACAATATATTTCAGTAGGCAGAAAGATAGAACTGCTTAGATTTTAAATACTCAATACATGCTTGACACAGTTTAGTCTATTTCTCTTCAGTTACTATGGCAGTGGGTGCTATAGAGATGTGCAGACCCTATTGTGACCTCCCTTTGGTATAGGGATGCTCTGGAGCCCCTGGCTTCATTGTCCACTAAGGTCTGGCAGGTCTGATTGCCTCTTTTCAGGCACTGAGTGGTGGGGTATGCCATCCTCCCCTGCTGGAACCAGCCTTGGCCTGCCCTGTTAGTCATCAAAAATAGATCTCACCAGGGAACAATCTTCTCAGGTTGTTGTGTAATTTGAGTGAGCCAAGGTGAGTGTTTTAGGGACAAGCAGCATCAACTTCGGAATCTTCAACTGGGCCTGAGCACTTATTTCTCAGAAATAATAGAATCTTGCTCACTTTTCTTTCTTTTTTTTTTTTTTTTTAGATGGAGTCTCGCTCTGTTGCCCAGGCTGGAGTGCAGTGGATCAGTCTAGCTCATTGCAGCCTCCACCTCCTGGGTTCAAGAGATTCTCCTGCCTCAGCCTCCTGTGTAGCTGGGATTACAGGTGTGCGCCACCACGCCTGGCTAATAATTCTATTTTTAGTAGAGTTGGGGTCTCACCATGTTGGCCAGGCTGCTCTCGAACTCCTGACCTCAAGTGATCTGCCCGCCTCGGCCTCCCAAAGAGCTGGGATTATAGGTGTGAGTCACCATGCCTGGCCTCTTGCTCACTTTTCATACTAAAACAACAAATTACAGGCTGTAGTTTAACCTCTCTACTGCATGCATAAATGCAGTGTGGTACGAGTGCCTCTGTAGCCCATAACTTCAGTTTCCTTGTTGCTAGCAGTCTGTGGTGACACTATACTAATCTCACATGCAGGAACCAATGAGGATTAGCCAGGGACACAGGAGGAGTCACCTTGCATTCAGAATGACTCAAGTTTAGTCTCAACTTGACCATTAGCTCTCTGAGTGATCTTGCCCATGTTAATTCTCTTGATCTTAGTTTCTTCAGAGCCAGTGAGACATTGCTTGAAAGTGACTTAGCCTGGTATACCCAGGTCTGTCAGACTTATAGTCTGGTGCTCTCTTGGGTGAACTTGAGGGCCTTCTGCCAAGGCAGGAATGGCTTCTTTTAAAAAAAAATTATTTTATTATTATTTTTTTTTTTGTAGAGACGGGGGGTCTCACTATGTTTCCTAGGCTGGTCTCAAACTCCTGGACTCAAGTGATCCTTCAGCCTCGGCCTCCCAAAGTACAGAGATTATAGGTGTGAGCTACCAGTACCAGCCTCCAGGAATGGCTTCTAAGGCTTCAGGCTGTTTATAGAGAGGAAAGCACCTGGGAGCTGATGGCACTCTCAGGTTTCCCAAAATGACAGTTCTGCATATGCATCTTAATCACCTACTTTTTTTCCCTCCACCCCCAAATGCTATTCACAGTCCTTGTTTATGATAGAAGCTGAAGCTTACAGGTGACAATTTTTGTGCCTGTATGAAAGGAAACATGACTGACTCCACTTATCCACACGACACCTGCTTTCAAGGTTGTTCAGTGTTGGAATAATTTTTGCTTGATGGTAACCTAGGGATGACCCAAGGTTTCATTAGTTAAAGCCAGCCCTGTGGGATGCATGAAGTCTAGCCTCTGTCCCTGTAAAAATCCCACCAGAACCATTTTAGAATTCACTCAGGACTTCACCCCTCCCGCTCCTGGTGCTGCTTATGGAACTAAAGAATCCTCATCTTCTCAGCCCTGGGACACATTGTCCTCATATAAAGCGAGGTGGCAATCAGGGAACAGGGGCGAGTCTTGTGCTTATTTCAGTTATAATAGGAAGGCTCTACCAGGACTCATCATTGTCCCAACAATAGTCGATTCCAGGCCCCTTCTTTGAACTCATTTCAGTGTCTCAGGTTCTGTCCTTGGTGTCTGTCTTCACTGCTTGCTCAGTTGTATTTGAACATGGCTAGAGATGAGCACACTTCTCTTCTCCAGTAAAAAAGCCTGCAAGAAAAGTCTTGGACTTCTTGAACTGCTATTCAGTTGTCTTTTTTATTCAATGTATTTTTTGAGATGGAGGGGGTCTCACTTTGTTGCCCAGGATGGTGTTGAACTCCTGGCCACAAGTGATCCTTCTGCCTCAGAGTTCCAAAGTGCAGAGATTACAGGCTTGAGCTACCACAACCGGTCTCTTGTCAGTTTTTGAGGTTACTTAAGAGGTTAATGCCTTTAAATTAGTTTGCAGTTGTTTTGCTTTTGCCTGCCTTCTTGCCCAAATGCGCAAGTGCTTATTTAGTAATCTGACTCAAGTGCTTTGTGTCCCCAGAGTCCCCACTTTTCCAGGATTCATTGTCTTTTTTTTTTTTTTTTTTTTTTTGAGACACAGTCTTGCTCTGTTGTGCAGGCTGGAGCGCAGTGGCACTGTCGGCTCACTGCAACCTCCACCTCCTAGGTTCCAGAAATTCTCGTGCCTCAGCCTCCCAAGTATTTGGGATTAGAGTCACACACCACCACACCTGGCTAATTTTTTTATATTTTTAGTAGAGATGGGGTTTTGCCATGTTGGCCAGGCTGGTCTTGAATGCCTGACCTCAGGTGATCTACCCGCTCGGCCTCCCAAAGTGCTGGGATTACAGACATGAGCCACCACACCCGGCTGGATTCAGTCTTAACTTGCTCTTTTTTTTTTTTTGCATCTCACTCCCTTGCCAGGCTGGAGTGCAACGGTGTGATCATAGTTCACTGCATCCTTGAACTCCTGGGGTCAAAAGATCCTCTTGCCCCAGTTTCCCGAGTGGTTGGGACTACAGGTGTGTGTCACCACGCCTGGCTAATTATTTTATTTTTCGTAGAGACAAGGTCTGACTGTGTTGCCCAGGCTAGTCTTGAGCTCCTAGGCTTAGGTGATCCTCCCACCTTGGCCTCCCAAAGTGTCAGGATTATAGGTGTGAGCCACTGCACCCAGCCTGGATTTGCTCTTTTATCAAGAGGTTAATATTTATTCTTCCGTTCAGTGAACCGTGGGATTGAATTCCCCCAGCGATTGAAATGAAAGGGCTTATGTATAACATTTCCTGAGGAATGGTAGTACCAGAGTTCAGAGGAGACCTCAGGCCATTTATTCTATAAACTCAGAAGCTGTAGTTCTAGATGATGTGGCTTCTTCAGGGTGTTGAGAAGTCTCTGTTATCTCGTGCCTTGTTGGATTAGAACTGATTGAGCTCTGTCTGCTGCCCCAAACATGTGGCTCAGCCAATCTCCAGTGGCATCTGCAATGTGGGTATTCTAGCCTCCAGTGCTCACGTGGCTCACCTTAGAAAGGGCAGATATTCCTATTTCCTGACGCTGCTGGAGAATGAGGTCTGAGTCAGAAGTCCTCAGGTGTGACCTGCCCAGAACTATCTGAAATTGCTGGATTTCTTGTTCTTCCTCAGTGTTTAACAATCACCCAATTGCTCATTCTCACCAGCGACTTCCTCAGTAAGAGCTCAATATTTGAGGTGGTGCTGCATTTTGTCAAACATTCATGCGTGTTAGCCCACTTAGTCTTCGCAGCACACAGTGGATTAATGGATTTTTAAAAGCTGGTATTTATGCACGATGGAATACTACTCAACCATAAACAAGAAGGAAATTCTGTCATTTGTGACTACATGGATGCATCTAGAGGACATTATGCTAAGTGAAGTAAGCCAAAGAAAGAAAGACAAATGGTGCATGATATCACTTATATGTGAAATCTGAAAAAGTCAGTTATAGAAGGAGAGTGTAACATGTTGGTTACCAGCGGCTGGGGGAAGGGAAGGGTGGGTGTGGAAAGGGGAGATGTTGATCAAAGGGTACAAAATTTCAGTTAGGAGAAATAAGGTCTGATGATCTGCCTTACAGCATGGTGACTATAGTTAATATGGTTAATATTATAATAGTATTGTATACTTCAAAATTGGTAAAAGAGTGGATTTTAAAAGTTGTCACCACAAAGAAATGATAAGCATGTGAGCTGATGGATATGTTAATAACCCTGATTTAATTATTCCCCAATGTATACATGTGTCCAAACATCACACTGTACCCCATAAATATAATTGTCAGTTAAAAACTTAGGAGTCAAGTCAGATCTGAAGAGAAGTCAAAACAGATTTCATACAGTTAATTTAGAGACATGGGACCCAATTAAAAATTTGTATTACTTTACTTGGTATTTTAGAATTTAGCTGTTATTTTCTTGTTACACACACAGGCACAGGCACACAAATCCTCTATTTAACTGGCTTTCTCAGTAGGAACTCCATCTGTGTATTTGCAACAGCTGTAACTCAGGTTGGATGCTCCCCAGGGTGCTGGCCTATAAGTCATATTGGACCCTGATCTGAATCTGAGGGAATCTGGATCTCTCTTGTAGGAAGCTTTTGGTTTAACTGGGAAGACAGGATGACAGTCAGTTGTGGAAGCTGAAGCGTAATCACCTCATATTAATATGGTGGCAATTTTATATCGGAGTGAGCTCTGAGCTGCAAACAGCCTTCTAGGAAGCAGGCAGGGGACCCCCATCCAGGGTGATGGTAAGAATCCTGATGCCCAACTGCAAGGTGTTCAGCAGGGAGGGAGCACTCGTGGAGTCCCAGTGCAGAAGTCTCTGAGCAGCCACTTAGCCTCCCTGTGTTTGTGGGGTAACAACCCGAGTTCATGTTGTGGGCATCTCATGCAGTGTAGTAGCTGGTCACTGTCAAGTGTCACTATTTCATTGAGTCAGAAGCCTGCAGAATTGTTCTCATTCCAGGGAGTGAGTCAGTCTGCTGTTGCTTACTCTCGGTGCTGGCTGAGCTCAGCAACCTGCTCTCTTCCTTCAGTTCAGGTTTCTCCAGGGCAAAGAAGTCTTTATTGTTCCTTTCTGTATGACCAGATGGGAAATGAATTATAATATAGTCCTTAGATTATATTCCCACCTGGTAGCAATGCACTGAGTTACCTGACCTGAAATTTGTTGGACTTAGTCTCCATGGAGGAGGATTTACCATCTTCGTTGTCTCAGAAGTCCTGGTAGTGCCTCATGCCAGCAATTTAGCAGGAGCAAAAGCTTTGAGACAGTGTTCTGGATCTGCTGAGCTGGTCTAAAGGAACCTCTTTTGCTTGAAGTAACTGTGATAGGAACTTTGTTACTGCTTCTGTTAGCTCAGGTGTTGGAATGAGAATCAGCAGCTGATGAGGTGAACAGCTAGGAGTACTGGAATTATGGAGTAGTGGAGGTAGATTTTATAAACAGAGGGTCCCAGTTTTTTGGAAATGGGAAAGAGAGAGGGTAGACTGGCCTTTCTAGAATTTGTAACAGAAAAGAGGACCCAGGAGCTTCCATTGACTAGTTAGTTAATGCAGTGCGGGATCTTAGCTGGTTTGCTTGGTCCAATTCCTGTCTCTCGGTTTCTTTTTTCCCTTCCCTTCGCTGCCTTCCCCTCCCTCTTCCCTTTTTCTTTCCAAGAGAATTGAGTCACTCCATATAAAAGAAGCAGCCAGTTGGCTAAAAAGTCCAACAAAAAACAAGTATTTATAGCTCTCCAAATTTCCCACTTGTCATTATCAGTATACTTTTGCACACAGTTATAGTCGGTGTTTGGGATCCTTTTTAAAAAAATAAAAAGTTTCTGTAGGCTTTTCCATGCATGAACACAGCTTATCAACTTGCCCCGGCTGTGCCAGGATTCCATTGTTGACTGTTGTTTGAGCAGTCATGCCCTTTGTTCTTAGGCTGTGTGTTGTTTTTTTCCTAACATCATAGTATGGCTGGGTATTATTTTGATACAGATTACAATTACTATTACTATTTCTTGAAGTGTATTTCCCAGAGTGGAATATTTTAGGATCTTTTTTTCTCTTTTGTGGGGGTGGGGAACATGTAGCTTCTTGTGGATATTAGACATTGAAGTCTAAAAAGGTTCTATATTTATGATTTGGCCCTCAATTTTCTAGAGATTCCAATGGTTCCTGCAAAGAAAAGAGCATTCAAGTATAGAAACCAGCCAGACTAAGTCTGGACATGTAGCTTTTCAGAAAGTGAAAAAAAATTATGTTTCTGCAGTTGCAAGGTGGCCTCTGAATGCCACACTGTGTGGCCACTCCCTTGGACAGTGGCTAGGCCACAGGGTCGCCTCCCCTGGCCCCAGTCTGTGGGTTGAATATGCTAACCGAGCCTTCCCAGGAGCCTCCTCTGCCCCCAGCCCCCAGGTCTGTACAGATGGTAGTTGGTACTTTCAGCCCGCCTTGAGAACTCAGTATTCTTCCTGTTAGCTTTCCTTCAAAGTAAAATCGGTAGAACCTATTTTGAGTGTAGAAAATTTGAAGTCGTGGACAGCAGATTACAAAAAATTGCCCACCACCATGCCTGGCTCATTTTTGTATTTCTAGTAGAGATGGGCTTTCACCATGTTGGCCAGGCTGGTCTCGAACTGCTGACCTCAGGTGATCTGCCCACCTCGGCCTCCCTAAATGCTGGGATTATAGGTGCGAACCACTGTGCCTGGCTCCTTTTTGTATTTTTCGGAGAAGCACAAGGACTTGTTGTTTAATTAAGCAAGACTATACTCTCCCAGAGCATGCAGTTATTATTGAGTAAAACACAGTTAATGAGATTTAATCACGTTCCCTATCACTGTTGTGCAGCATGATAAGTAGGTGCAAATGGCAAGAAGCACGCTGAAGTTACTGCAGTTGGTAACCTGGGCCATGGATGGCACTTGTCTTTGCCTCATTTTGCCTGTAAGAAGCATGGGGCCTGTGGTCCTGGGGTACCTGGACCCTCAGCCTGGTGTGTGTGTGCCCTCAGCCTGGTCCTTTACTTCCATCACCCATCTAGAGGCTCCAGGACCCTTTACTGCACCCCTCCCTCCTCTAGATAGCTCAGTGTTTTCATCCCAGCACCTTTTTCTCTGCTGCCTGAGAACTGAGCAGCCAGAGACAAATTTTGGCTCTCAGGGTCCTCAAGGGTGTACAGCAAAGCTGTTCTTATTATTTAAAGTATTTTATTTATTTATTTTTGAGACAGAGTCTTACTTTGTCGGCCAGGCTGGAGTGCAGTGGCATGATCTCGACTCACTGCAACCTCTGTCTCCCAGGCTCAAGAAATCCTCCTACATCAGCCTCCCAAGTAGCTGGGATTACAGGCTGGAGTGCAGTGGCTCCATCTCGGCTCACTGCAACCTCCGCCTCCCAGGTTCAAGCGATTCTCCTGCCTCAGCCTCCTGAGTAGCTGGGATTACAGGTGTGTGCCACCATGCCTGGCTAATTTTTGTATTTTTAGTAGAGACAGGGTTTTACCATGTTGGCCAGGCCGGTCTCGGACTCCTGACCTCCTGATCTGCCCACCTCGGCCTCCCAAAGTGTTGGGATTACAGGCGTGAGCCACCGCGCCCGGCTAGCAAAGCTGTACTTTTACCAAAAAAAAAAAAGAAAACATTTATAAATCAAGGTCTGAAGGCCCATGTGAGGCTTATTCTACAGCTTGCAATGCCTGTTTTTGCCCCTTGGTAAGTGGACGCACAGCTGGGCAGCCTTATGCTATCTCTGTGAACTACCCATTTCTGGCTTTGTTCATAATATTCCCTTGATCTGGAGGCCCTCCCCCAGCCCTGCCCCAAATCCTGTCTGTGTTGAGGGTCCTGCCCCAGGAAGCCCTCTGCATACTCTTCCCTGCATGTAATACCTGCCTGCTTTCACATTCTTCTAGACTGTGCTGTGCATCGTACAGTTCATCAGCATTATTGCAGAGTAGAGTGTCTCTGATTTGGAGTCAAGAGAAGGTTCCATTTTTCTGTACATCCCGATGTTTATTTTCTGAGTGTTCTCAGACATCACTAAGCCTCAGTCAAAATAAAGTATGATCATGATGTAACATTCATTGAGTGCTTATCACATGGTAGGCATTGTGCTATATGAGTTATTGCTTGACTTCCTAAAATAATCCCAGTAGAGATGCTAAATCTAAAGGTGAGAGAGATGGTTCAAAAAGACCTCAGTGAGCAAACCATGTACTATAATATCCTAAAAGATAACAAAAATGTAACTAGGTATCTAGAGAAAACTCAGGAAGGATATGTGCCTTGGGCCTTTTAAGGACCATTTCTTAACACTTCTGTGTTCTTCTTGACACCTGTTTCTGGGTAGAGCACATAGAAAATGCTCAGTAAATAAGTTCTTTTTCCTTGGCCCAGTTTGGCCTGATTTGGCCCCAGTTCTGTCTTTGTGAGTTACTTTATTAGTTGTCGGTGCTACTGTGCTGCTATTCATGTGGAAGATTCCCCAAATGGGCTGCGCCTTACATTGCCTGAGCAGAAGCCCCGAGGGATGGAGGATGAGCTTGCCTTGTTATGGGACTGTGTTTCCCTGGCTGACAAAGGCTCAGCATTTGCAGCAGGCAATGGGAATTGATTGGCCAACTTAATATTTCCTTCAGCCTAGCAAAGTCCTGAGTAGGCTAGGGACAGTCTGCTTTTTTGGTAACTCCTGTAGGCTGCCTTCTGCACAAGGCACCCAGCCTCTCACAGGTAGGATGAACTGGCCTCAGCACGCTTGCAGAGGGGTGGAACTGTGCGTTGCTTGCCAAGCTTTTTGTTTCCCTAAGGTTTTTGAGGTTTTCTTTGTTTTTGGTAACTTTCAATTTTTTTTTTTTTTTTTTTTTTTTGGACAGAGTTTCACTCTTATTGCCCAGGCTGGAGTGCAGTGGCGCGATCTTGGCTCACTGCAACTTCTGCTTCGTAGGTTCAAGTGATTCTCCTGCCTCAGCCTCCTGAGTAGCTGGGATTACAGGCACGCGCCACCACATCCGGCTAATTTTGCATTTTTAGTAGAAACAGGGTTTCTCCATGTTGGTCAGGCTGGTCTTAAACTCCTAACCTCAGGTGATCCACCCACCTTGGCCTCCCAAAGTGGTGGGATTACAGGCATGAGCCACCGTGTCTGGCCTAACTTTTAATTTTGATACGGTCTTTTTTTTTTTTTTTTTTTTTTTTTTAAGACAGTTTCGCTCTTGTTGCCCAGGCTGGAGTGCAACGGCGTGATCTCGGCTCACTGCAACCTCTGCCTCCTGGGCTCAAGAGATTCTCCTGCCTGAGCCTCCCGAGTAGCTGGGATTACAAGTGTGCACCACCATGCCCGGCTATTTTTTGTATTTTTAGTAGAGACAGGGTTTCACCATGTTAACCAGGCTAGTCTCAAACTCCAGTCTGCCTCGGCCTCCCAAAGTGCTGGGATTACAGGCATGAGCCACTGTGCCCTGCCTTGATACAGTTTTAAGCATACAGAAAAATGGTAAGAATAGTACAAAGAACTCTCATACCTCTTCCCCAGATTCACTGCTAGGATTTTGCCTTGTTTGCTTTTCTGACTTGCCAGTGTCCCCCACCCTGCAGCATATGCACATGCACACACACTGTCTTCTGAACCATCTGACAGGGAGTTGCAGGCAGTGTACCTTTACTTCTGAATACCCCAGTGTGTATTTCTTAGGAACAAAGACATTCTCTTATATAATCGCAGTACAATTATTTTTAAAAACCAGCAAGCTTAATGTCAATACAATGCTATTACCTAATACATTGTTCATATTCAGATTTTTTCCATATTCCACTATGGTCCCAGTAATGGCAGAGCTTTATTTTAAAGAAAACAATCCTGGGGTGTGTGGGTGTCACCTTGGTTACATTCGCTCTGAGGAAAGCAGAACCGACAGGTATTTGGGGAAGTGACTGCCGTGGGTGCCACATCACCAGCTCCTTGTGTCTCTGCAGGACCAGAGGAGCGAGAGCAGCAAGAACCACACCCAGCAGCAATGTCAGCGGAAGTGGAAACCTCAGAGGGGGTAGACGAGTCAGAAAAAAAGAACTCTGGGGCCCTAGAAAAGGAGAACCAAATGAGGTGAGCGATGGGGGCTGGCTGCACTGAATCAGGTGGGCCCAGCACCTGTCGTGCTCAGCACACCTGGTTTTGTCTGTTGGCAGCACTGGGGAGTGGCCATGGGCCATGAGCTCTGGACCCCTGGGTGCCTGCTTGGCCCTGCAGGGACCGCATACAGCTTCGGCTGCTTAGAACTCTCCCCACTGGTCCATTGTCTCATCCAAGGAGGCAGGGCAGGTGCTCCTGGGAGTGCTGATAGGATTTGATGGTAGTTATCCTTTTTTCTTTTTAAAAACTTGTGCGTTTCCTCATCTGGGCTGAGAAAGGGTAAACGCAGGCAAAGCTGGCTCTGTTCAGTCTTTTACCACATAAAAGACTGCAGGGCAGCCTTTCCTTACTCTGTATAGGGACAGCTCATGCTAAACCTGAGCTTCCAGGCCCTGTTCTGCATCATTAGCCTCTCATAGCCCTGTCATTGGCCAAGTTTTTTTTTTATCCCTTGAAATAATTGCTAATAATAAATTGATTCTCAGCACATGGATGATAACGAGCTAATCTCCTAAAGAAGACAGCAGAAGCCAGACCATGATAAGGCCAAATTTTTCTCACTCTTGTAGATGGATTGTGTGGACACATGTAAGCCCCTGCCCAAGTACCACCATCTTTAGGATCACATGTTTTCTACCTTGTCCATCCATCCACACACCTTTACAACTGTGTAATTTCGTTAAGCAGCACAAACCCAGCGTCCTGGCCCTAGCCTCTCGGTTGTCTCCTTTGCATCCTTCCGTGCTTGGTCCTAGTCACATATAGTCTCAAAGAAGCTGTGGGTCCAAGGTGGGAGGAAGGCAGTAGGGCCATCTGAGGAGACCCATGGTCACAGCCTTACTGAGGTGTGTGAATTCCAGAAGACACGTTCCAAGGCAGGCTGTTCTTAGAGAAGCCAGCAAATACTGAAGGGAATACAGATGTGTGTCTCTTCGACCACTAGGTGGCCACAGAAGCAAAGCATTGCTCATTTGGGTGGTTCCCAACACAGACACATGGACGTGGGTACTACTCTCAAGGAGCAGGCCACAGTTATCCCTTGTGTCCTGAGTCCTTGGAGCAGAATGTCATGTCTGCTTGTCCTGTGTTCCCTGACAAGTTGCTGCTATTTGTGTTGGAGTGAAGTGTCTGAGAAGCCCCAGCCTCCAGTACAACAGGTGGTCACCTTGGGGTGTGGACTCAATCTTCTCTCTATGGTCCTTTCTGGAAAGCTGGGAAGGGCTAATTGACACACAAACACCTCCCATCTCTCCACAGAATGGCTGACCTCTCGGAGCTCCTGAAGGAAGGGACCAAGGAAGCACACGACCGGGCAGAAAACACCCAGTTTGTCAAGGACTTCTTGAAAGGCAACATTAAGAAGGAGCTGTTTAAGGTTTGTGCCCCGCATTGGGTTCCAGACTGTCATATGGGGTTGGGGTGGGGGCCTTGGTCCCATGAGAAAAGTGCCCCTGGAGCCACTCTGAGGGAAAAGCTGGGCTTTTCTCCACACTCCATTCCTTCTTGACGTTAAGCTCTGGCTCTCGGCTGGGTACAGTGGCTCATGTCTGTAATCCCAGCACTTTGGGAGGCCGAGGCAGGTGGATCACTTGAGGCCAGGAGTTTGAGACCAGCCTGGCCAACATGGTGAAACCCTGTCTCTACTAAGAATACAAAAATTAGCCGGGTGTGGTGGCGCGTGCCTGTACTCCCAGCTACTTGGGAGGCTGAGGTGGGAGAGTCACTTGAACCTGGGAGGCGGAGGTTACAGTGAGCCGAGATCGTCCCACTGTACTCCAGCCTGGGTGACAGAGCGAGACTCTTTACCCCGCCAAAAAAAAAAAAAATTGGTTCTCATGGCTTAGATAGAATAACATAGTGGTGTGAAGGAAGCAAAAGTATGCGTGTTCCAAAGACTTCACCATGCCATTCCTTTAAGAAACAAAAGCTTCCTTGTGTGTTAAATAATTCACTACATAAAAATGGACCATAGGATTGGGTCTTTGGGGTTGGGGGTTGTCACTTGAGCCTCTGCATCCAGCTGCTCGGATGTGGTGTGCTCAGGCATAGCTGGCCTCCTCCTGTCACCTCCACAGCTGGCCACCACGGCACTTTACTTCACATACTCAGCCCTCGAGGAGGAAATGGAGCGCAACAAGGACCATCCAGCCTTTGCCCCTTTGTACTTCCCCATGGAGCTGCACCGGAAGGAGGCGCTGACCAAGGACATGGAGTATTTCTTTGGTGAAAACTGGGAGGAGCAGGTGCAGTGCCCCAAGGCTGCCCAGAAGTACGTGGAGCGGATCCACTACATAGGGCAGAACGAGCCGGAGCTACTGGTGGCCCATGCATACACCCGCTACATGGGGGATCTCTCGGGGGGCCAGGTGCTGAAGAAGGTGGCCCAGCGAGCACTGAAACTCCCCAGCACAGGGGAAGGGACCCAGTTCTACCTGTTTGAGAATGTGGACAATGCCCAGCAGTTCAAGCAGCTCTACCGGGCCAGGATGAACGCCCTGGACCTGAACATGAAGACCAAAGAGAGGATCGTGGAGGAGGCCAACAAGGCTTTTGAGTATAACATGCAGGTACTATTGGGGGCTGCCAGCTGCTAGGGCTGAAGAGGGAAACTTTGACAGTGGTAGCAGATCCATAGTGGCCCATGAAGGCACACATGGCATTAGGACAGATGAGCTGCAGGGTGCCGAGAGGAAGGTGGCCACCAGATTGGCCACCAGAGCTTGTGGGCCCAGTGGGTGGTTCCCAGCATGGAGGCCTGGTGTGATAGATGCCAGTGGGTAGTGTTTTGGGAAGGGTGAGTCCTCTCGCACATAGAGGGGTCTGGAAGAATGGAGCTGGCTTCCTCCCTCATTGCAGGATGCTGGTCTTGAAGAATGGTTAATTTTCTTTTCAAGTTTTGCTCTGAGAAGCCCTGCTTTATAAGTTAATAGAGAGCCAGTGCCACCAAGGAGAGTAAATAAGCTCTGTTTACAAGTAGCCTTTAGATGAGGCTGAACCTGGGGAAGCTTACTCTGTCCCCAGGTCCTGTCAGCTTCCACTGAGGCCTCCCAGGGCACTCAGGATGAGTATGCCCTGCCACAGTCTCATTCTCCCATGTTCCAGGTTTTCTGTTGCTTCTTGATAAAAAAATAACCAGCACCTAGAAATGGGGATGTACTCATGCCCTCCTGTCTGTGCTGTGGTAGTTTCAGTGGCTTGAGCCACCTCAGAGAAGGCTACATCTCTGGTCAGTTCCCAGGGGAGACCCAGCATTTGGCAGCCTTCTTGGGGTACCAATATCCACACCTCCCCAGAGCTCTTGCTAGGGAGGGAAGACCATCAGGCAGTGCAGCTGCCGCCCACCAGTGCTGCTTGCTGTGTAGTTGGCACACCTGAGCAAGCTCACCTGCTCCAGCTCACTCTCTCTGGAGGGCGTCCTCTAAAAGGAGAGTGTAGCCAGGCGCAGTAGCTCATGCCTGTAATCCCAGCACTTTGGGAGGCTGAGGCAGGGGCATTACTTGACCCCAGGAGTTGAAGACCAGCCTGGGCAACCAAGGTGAGACACCATCTCCCCACAAAATTTAAAAATTAGCCAGGTATGGTGGTACACACACGTAGGAGGATAAGGTGGGAGGACCACTTGAGCCTAGGAGTTTGAGGCTGCAGTGAGTTAGCCATGTTCATAACACTGCACTCTAGCCTGGGCAACAGAGACCTCATCTCAAAAGACATTTAAAAAAAAAAAAAAAGTATGGGCAGCCCAAAGATGGCTCAGTCGATCCTCTGCTCCTGCAGATATTCAATGAACTGGACCAGGCCGGCTCCACACTGGCCAGAGAGACCTTGGAGGATGGGTTCCCTGTACACGATGGGAAAGGAGACATGCGTAAATGCCCTTTCTACGCTGCTGAACAAGACAAAGGTAGGTCTGTGTGTCCTGAGCTCCCCTCCTGGGGCAGGTGTAGCAGGAGACTCCACTGATGCCATGTCTCCTATTGGTGCTGCCACACAGGTGCCCTGGAGGGCAGCAGCTGTCCCTTCCGAACAGCTATGGCTGTGCTGAGGAAGCCCAGCCTCCAGTTCATCCTGGCCGCTGGTGTGGCCCTAGCTGCTGGACTCTTGGCCTGGTACTACATGTGAAGCACCCATCATGCCACACCGGTACCCTCCTCCCGACTGACCACTGGCCTACCCCTTTCTCCAGCCCTGACTAAACTACCACCTCAGGTGACTTTTTAAAAAATGCTGGGTTTAAGAAAGGCAACCAATAAAAGCCAGATGCTAGAGCCTCTGCCTGACAGCATCCTCTCTATGGGCCATATTCCGCACTGGGCACAGGCCGTCACCCTGGGAGCAGTCGGCACAGTGCAGCAAGCCTGGCCCCCGACCCAGCTCTACTCCAGGCTTCCACACTTCTGGGCCCTAGGCTGCTTCCGGTAGTCCCTGTTTTTGCAGTACATGGGTGACTATCTCCCCTGTTGGAGGTGAGTGGCCTGTAAGTCCAAGCTGTGCGAGGGGGCCTTGCTGGATGCTGCTGTACAACTTCTGGGCCTCTCTTGGACCCTGGGAGTGAGGGTGGGTGTGGGTGGAAGCCTCAGAGGCCTTGGGAGCTCATCCCTCTCACCCAGAATCCCTCTAACCCCTTGGGTGCGGTTTGCTCAGCCCCAGCTTATCTCCTCCTCCGCGCTGTGTAAATGCTCCAGCACTCAATAAAGTGGGCTTTGCAAGCTACCTCCTTCCCTGCCTCCTGGCACCGGGTGGGTCAAGCCACCTCCCCATAGGAGAGTCCCTCAGAAGCAAGGGCATGTTATGTCTGTGTGGGGAGTGGACATCGTCCATCATGGCTCCCAGCAGCCACCTCCTGCTCTGGGTCTACTCTCCAGCACCTCTAGTCTCCAAAGCAAAGTCACTCTAACCGTCTTGCAAAGATCTTTAAAGTGTATCCAGCACTGCTATTTTTTAGCTCAGAAATACCTTAGAGGTTTCCTACTTAAAAGGTTTTTTTAAAATATATATATATATTTAAAAATAAGGGTTTTAAAAAAGCACATATTTGTATTTAAACAATTCATTCTCTAAAAGAGAAACATGAACTTAAATAATTTTATTAATAGGAATCTACTACCTGTAAAAGTTTTATTTCAAAAAGGGTTAAAAAGTAGGGAAACTCTTTAAACTACTGACCAAGACTGCCACCTTCATAATTCAGATGAGTTAGTGCAGAGATGGCCAGGGCCAGAGGTCGCCCAGAACCTGCGTGTGCAGACTGCGCTCTGTTAGTCTTCTGCCTGTCAGCCTCAGCCCAGTCTGTGTTGCTTAAGGGTGCGCCTCCCCAGGGCTGGATGATGCTGTGCTCAAGCCTGCGGGTAGGAGGGCTCCAGCTTGCAGATCCCATGCGTGGATGCCATATATAGATGGTTGAAACCAGCATCAGAGGAAGGAAGGTGACCTTACAGCCACTGCCGAGACCAACGTGTGCCCTGGCCCAGTCACAGCTGGAAATCCCAGGGCTGGTCTACACCCGACTCTGGTTTGGTTTAATTAGGTCCTTACGTGTTGGTGTTGTCCCAGGCAGTTGGCATGGCATCAGCACTGAGGGTGTGAGACCCTGAGGACTCAGCCTCCCGTCCTGCCAGTAGACTGCCTGCAGCCCCACCCTCTTTCCCTCAAAAAAGAAGGAAGCCAGGCAAGAGAGCAGAGGCCCAGGGCGGGGGAGTGAAAGGGCCAATTTAATGAGAAACTACAAACTGAGACTGGGCCACGATTCACAGTGACAGGAGGCCATGCAGTGGCAGTGCGAGACCAGGAAGGACAGTGGCAGGATACAGTGGTCCAGGTGAGCAAGTTCACAAACCATTCAGGAAATAAAGACAGGGCGAGGCTGGTGTCCACCAAGGCAGTTCTACCACTTGTGGCTGCTCCTTCCTCGTCCCTAGCCCAGTGTGCCTGCAGGAGCAGGTGTGAGCAGGCACAGCAACAGCCTGTCAGCTGGGGTGAGGGGCCCGGCACTTACAGGGAAGAAAATCCATGGAGAAGGCTCTGCACATCCAAGCGCACCCACAAGGGGGACCCTCTGCCATCTCTTGCCCAGTTGGGATACACCAGCCACCAGGCAGAGGTCATACCCACACGCAGTGAGGACACAGGGCAGACGGGAAGGGGCTAGGCTCAGGGGCTCCTTCCGGCCCCAGCAATACAGGGTTCACAGAGGCATGGCCTGAAAGGGGGTCTGCACACTGACTCAAAGGGACAAGTTCCTTCTTAGCTACCAGGGTCTGATCATTCACCCAGGTACAGTGTCCTCTCTACCTGACACCAGGCAGCTCTCGGGCACTGGGACAGGGTATTAGACATCCTGGGCTTCTATACCTGAGAGTTCTGAGGGCCAGAGTTGGCAGTTTTACTTCCAGCCACCATGCCCCACCTCTAGCACCCCAGAGGCGCAAAGTACCCAGAAACAAACCCAGGCTTTGTGACCCTGTCCTACGTGGGCCCACCTGACTCCAGACAACTTACCCATTCTCGGCCCAGCAGGTCAGAAACGCCTGTGGCCACAGGCCTGGGGACTAACTGGCTAACTGCTCTGGCTGCTGTTGGTCCCAGGGGGAAAGAGTCTGGACTGAACCTGTACCTTGTTTGGAAACAGAGGCATCAGGACCCCAGCAGGAGACCCCTCCCAGCTTATCTTCCCGATCACACACACCAAGCAGACCAACAACACACAAGCTCATTGTCAGCCCCCTGCCACCCACTGACCCTTGGCCTTAAATCCCAACAGAATTTTTGCCAGAAGAGTCAGCGGCTCAGGTAGGGCAGGGTGAAGAGGACAGGACTTCTAGGGGATGGTGGCACGGCTCCCAGCCCCAAGTGGGAGCGGGAAAGTGACCACTGAGCACAGGGAGCAAAGCACAGGGGGCCAGACTGACAGGCGGGGGAGTCCCGAGTCCCAGCTCCGTTAGCACAGGCGCTTGTACGTGTAGATGTAGGCTTTGCAGCTGGGGCATGTGTGCGTCACATCCTTGAAGTCATTGATGAGGCAGGGGATCAGGCAGCAGCCCAGATCACATCTGAATCAGAGACAGGGAAGAACAGGCTGAGGCCTGCTGCGGAGGAGGCAGAGGCAGCCAGTTGACCCTGGTGCAGCCCCCACCCTACCAGTGCCCACACCACCTACCCCATGAAGCAACAGAAGAAACCCAGCACGAAATTCATCAAGCCAATCTCGTAGGAGATCTTGGTGGTGATGGCCTGCTGGCAGTGGGGACACACCGTCTGCACAGGCGCTCCCTCAAAGATCTCTCCCTGCAGCACTGTCACCGTGGTGGCAGCTCCTGAAGGGACCAGGACTGTGGCTGTGTGGCCCCCAGGGCCAGGGTAGGGCCCTGGCGTGTAGGGCCCTGGGGGGTAGTAGCCCATGGGTGGGTGGGGGCCTGGAGGAGGGTAGAAACCTGGAATGGCACAGAAGATGGAGGCGAGAGGTCACTGGCCTGCCACCTGCACCAGACAAAGAGATTGGCGCAAAGCCCCACGGTCCACAGCGCCCAGCGTGCAAGGCTACGCCTCAGACCTCCTACCGCCCTCCTAACGGGCCAGTGGGAGGCCTTACAGCTGGGGCCCTAAGTCAAGTGGGGCCACATTCTCCCAGCCCTTCCTGGTCCCCACCCCTTGGGGCCCATGACAGATGTGGCAGAGAGCCAGGCACATGGCCCGGTCCCTCTGCTCCTCTGTCTGTCTCCAGCATGCAAGGACAGGGCACTCAGCCTCAAGCCCATGACCAAGAGAGGGAAAGCCTTGCGGGTCACCCACCCCTCTCCTGCACACAAGGCGCCCCTCCCCACCCATGTCAGGTCCTGGTGTGCCAAGGACCAGCCCTTCCTGACCAGCCTGAATAAGAGCAGTCCCACCTTCCCACGTCCACAGTCCCTGTCCACACACAGCCTGAGCCCTAGGCAAGGGCTGGTTGGGCGTGTTGGAGTCCCTGCCCTACAGCAGATGCCCACCTGTACTGAGGACAGCCAGCGCAGGCCAGACAGCAGCCAGGAGTTCCCCATGCTCCCCTCAGATCCCTTCCCCACTCACCCGGAGGCATGTAGGTGCCATCTGCACTCATGTGTGGTGGGATGAAGCCAGGCTGGGGCATTGGGTGACCCGGCGGCTCATAGGGTGGGGGGCCAATGTCCGCAGGGGGCAGTGGCATGCCTGGAGGGGGCTGCATCACAGCTGGGGAGGAACGGCCTGGACAGAGAGAGGCAGAAAGAGGAGACTGAGCTGGAGCCTCTGCACGATGAGCTCGACCAGAGGCCACTGTTTTGGGACACAGATGGGGCCCAGGGGTAACCCTGGAGTGGGCATCACCACTTAGAGAGTCCCAACCATGCCATGGCGGCAGGGGGCTGCAATATGGAGCCTCAGGAACAGTGACCCCCTACCTGGGGTGGGCGGGGCTCCACTTTTCTCTTCCAGAAGTGGGGCTGTGGGGCCCCCAGGATAAGGAGGGGGAGGCTCGCTGGACATCTTCGCTGCTTCTCCTGGACATGGAGGGAAAACCCAGACATGAACTAAGCTCCCAGCCAGGTTCCTTCTCCTTCAGCCCTGTGGGGTGGCCAAGATGCTGCACAAGGCGTGTGACCATCCTCAGAAGGGTCTGCCTCCAGGCACTGGGGATCCCCCACCTTTCCCAGGGCCACCTAGCCCAGAGCCACCATCCTCACCTCTCAGTAGTCACCTGCTCTTCCCTGTTTGGAAGCTGAAGGGCAAGGACAGAACCCAGGAAGCAGGGCCCAGTGAGGTAAAGTCCCCCAAGGAGCCTAACTCAGCACTTGCCCCACACGAGAGCAGTTTGGCACCGAGCTCTCCCCTCCCCAAACGTTTAGCGGGCACTAAGGCAGTCGGAGGAGACACTGGACCGATCTCTGCCACAGGCTGCACTGGGAATGGGGGTTCTGGGGGATTTCTTACCTCAAATCCGTGCTACTCAGAGAAGGGAGGCAGGTGAGGCTCCTTCAGCTGCTGGCCTGGATGGACAGGGAACAGGCAGGGCTCCGGGAGCTGTTTCAGGGGAAGGAAAGGCAGGGCCCTCAGCAGGGAGCAAGGGCTGCCAAGCCAGGGCTGGGCCCAGGGGCCTGGGCATACCACACAGTTCCTCCCCTTCCACATCCGGCTTCTCCCTAGCTGTCACTCTGCCATCCACACACCCGACCACCCCTCCATTCCTCGGTCCCGTCGCAGGTCTGCTTCCTCCCTCCCCCAGGACTGCTGGCACCCAAGGGCCACGGCTGGGCCCTCTGCCTCCCCTCCCACCAGGCCTGAGCTCCCATGCATGAGGACTGGACTGCCAGGCAAGCTGTGCTCTGGCCTGTGCCCTTCTGGTTTGTTTGTTGAGGTGGGGGTCAGGGGGAAGAAGAGTCAAGTGAAATCTTTTCCCTCATTTCTGTCACCAAACTCTCTGAGCACAGCTCAGAAAGGTGGGAAGCTTTTGCTCTTACTTAGCATCATAAAGGACTTGGGAAGTGGGGTTCAGTTACCTTAGCTAAAAGTAATAAAATGAGACAAAAATCAGTTTCAGTGGAACAAAAAATACAGGGAAAGGAGTGTTTCCCAGACAGCCCAGCACCTGCAGGGGATGGAGGGCACATAAGTTTGAATATAAAGTTTAACAAATCAGGGGCAGGGCCAGAGGAACCAAGTCCAAGCTCTTGGGTTCAACTATAAAGTACCATGGAAGTTTGAAAACTGAAAGAGATCAAAAAGCTGTTAGAAGAAAATGCAGGCATCAATCTTTATGACCTTCGATTAGGCAGTGGTTTCTTAGATATGACACCAAAAGCAAAGCAACAAAAGAAAGAAAACTTAAAGTGGATGTCATCAGAATGAAAAACTCTTGTGCTTCAAAGGATACCATCACATTTTATAATTCATAGATCTGATAAAGGACTTGTATTAAGAAATACAAAGAACTCAACTCAATAACAGAAAGACAACCCAATTTTTAAAAGGATTTGAACAAAGACTTCTCAAAAGACAAATGGCCAAAAGCACATGAAAAACTACTGAGCGTCTTTTCATAAGGGAAATGAAAACCAAAACCACAAGGAGACCATTTCCTATCTACTAGGATGGCTAAAATTTAAAAAGACAGTAATAGGCATTATGTAGAAAAACTGGAACCCTCATACACTGCTGGTAGGGGACAGCCCCTGCAAACCTTTTGAAGAACTGCCAGCCCCTGTTCCCCTTTTGAGGAACAGTCTGGCAGTTCCTCAAAAGGTTAAACCTAGAGTTACCAGATGACCCAGCAATTCCACCCCTAGTTATCTGCCCAAAAGAAATGAAAACCTGTCTACACAGAAATTTGTACACAAATGTTCACAGCAGCATGAATCATAATAGCCAAAAAGTGGAAACAACCCAAATGTCCATCAACAAAGTGGATAAACAAAACCGTAGGCTGCCCAGACAATGGAAGACGATTCGGCTATAAAAAGGAAGGAAGCACTGACACCCTACAGCATGAACTCTGAAAACATGCTTGGTGAGAGAAGCCAGACACAAAAGGCCACATACTGTATGATTTCACTTATATGAAATGTCCCCAATAGGCAAACCCATAGAAACGGAAAGTACATTAGTAGCTGTTTAGGTCTGGGGGAGAGGGGAAATGGGGAACATGGAATCTCCTTCTGGGGTAACGAAGATGCTCTGAAACCGATTGTAGCAACAGTTGAACGATTCTGTGAATAACTAAAAACCACTGAATTGTACACTTTAAATGGGTGAATTGAATGGTACGTAAATTATGTCAATAAAACTTATTTTTAAAAAAAATGAGGGAAAAGAAAATTAGTCCTACTGCAGCCCATCTCCACATGTCCCTGCTGGTCTGTATGCACAGGCACCTGTACCTTTTGGTTTTGTTTTGTAGAGACGGGGGTCTCACTATGTTGCCCAGGCTGGTCTCGAACTCCTGGCCTCAAACAATCCTCCTGCCTCGGCCTCCTAAAGTGTTGGGATTACAGGCAGGAGCAACTGCGCCCAGCCCATACCATATAAAAATATAGTTGCTGTCCTGACAGTTTTAAATCCTTTTTTTTTTTTTTTTTTTTTTTTTGTGAGACAGAGTCTTGCTCTGTTGCCCAGGCTGGAGTGCAGTGGCGCGATCCTGGCTCACTGCAACGTCTGCCTCCCGGGTCCCAGCGATTCTCCTGCCTCAGCCTCCCAAGTAGCTGAGACTACAGGCACACGGCACCACGACTGGCTGATTTTTGTATTTTTTTAGTAGAGAAGGGATTTCACCACATTGACCAGGCTGGTAAATCCTTTTAATGCTGTGTCACACATATTCCATCTTACAAGACTCCGTGACCGTTGATATTAATATTCCACAAAATGGGCATACTTGACCAAACCCTATTAAGACATTTAGGCAAGGCCCTACTTGCTGCTTTCATGAAATACAAGAGAACACCTCTGTCCACCGCTCTTTCCCTTTTGTTAGATTATCTCCTCAGGCTAAGCTTGTCAGAGTGAGATGACTAGGTCAAAGGACATGAGCATTTTATGCCTTTTTGAAAGGATGCCAATTTATAGTGCCAGTTATTAATTTTCATATTAAAATGTCACTTATTTTTATATGCATTTCTTTGGCAATCAGGAGACAGAACATCTTTCCAAGTGTTCAGAAATTACACCTCTTCTGAGTTGCCTTATTATCCACAGAAGACATGGAGGCCTAGAAAAGGATGGGGCGGGGCATAAGTCTAGGACCCCAGCATGACTCTCCCACCCTCCTGCCTGCACAGTGAATTCCAATGGCACAGGGTTAAGAAAAGGGAGCAGTGGCCAGGTGCAGGGACTTATTCCTGTAATCTAATCTCAGCACTTTGGGAGACTGAAGCTGGCAGATGAACTGAGGCCAGGGGTTCGAAACCAGCATGGTCAACATGGCAAGACTCTTGTCTCTACAAAAGAAAAATTTTTAAATTAGGCATGATAATGTATGCCTGTAGTCCCAGCTACTGGGGAGGCTGAGGCAGGAGGATCACCTGAGCCCAAGACTCAGAGGATACAGTGAGCCATGATCAGGCCACTGCACTCTAGCCTGGGCAACAGTGCGAGACCCTGTCTCAAAAAACAAAAAAAAAAAAAACAGAACAGGGAGTAGCAGCAGTGCCTCTTGGGGCTGGTCCTGGGGTCCCTTGCCCAGGCTGCTCCTAGCCTGCCAGGTGCCCTCCTGCAGGGGAGAAGAGGGCAGCCTTTCATGGGGCTTTACCTGCGTCTGGAAAACTGCTCCAATACGTTGAGTTGGAATAAGTGCCAGCCCCTGCTACAAACTCCCAGACTCCCAGAAAATGCTCTCTGGCGCCTCTGGGTGGCACCACCGTCCACCAAGTGGCCCAACACTGTGGTCTGCAGTGGTCTTGCTCATCGGGGAATGGTCCAGGCCCTGGGATGCTCTGAGCAGACCAGGAAAATAAGCTGCACTGTGCTTGGTGAGTCACTGAAGCACCTGCAGATCCCAGCCTGGGTCCCTTGCAGGGAGCACACACACACACACGTGTGCACACACACCCCATCTCTGAGAATGCAGGTGTTGCCTTTCTCTGGCCCATCTTTTCATCAAAGTCAACAGATATAATCCTATGATCTCCTAGAGCTCAAAAATTCTATTTCTGGAATTCCACATACAGCCTTGCCCATGATGATAGGGTGTAAGCCCACAGGGCATAGCCCTCCTTTGGTGTTCACCCAACCTGGGTACAGAAAATGCAGGCCACAGGGAAGGGTCTGGACCTGCACAGGGCTGGCTTCCCCTCCAGCTCGATGGCCACACCAGAGCCCACCTTCTCTTTGCCCCTCACCGGGGGCCGCAGGGCCCTGTTGCTCCTCCGTGTCTTCCCCACCTAGGGCCATGCCTGCTACTCACTGCTCCCCCTCACCCCTCCATATCCACATGCGTCCTCCTGCTGCCTTCCTGAACCCCAGCAGAGACTGCAGGGCAGGTCCTTCTCTACCAAGGAGAGGATCTGGAAAACAGCTCATGAAGATTTCCCGAATTCAAACACCCATTCTCCCAGTGCCTTCCAATACAAAATCAAACATGCATTCCCACAAAACCATGTTGTGTAGGGTGTAATAAAAACTACAAGAATAATCTTTCAATCACACGATCAGAAGCAAAATAGTTTTCCAATAAAACGAGTACTGTTCAAATTAAGCTACAAAATGGAAAATGTCTGATCTGAAAATGCAGCCCCAGCACCTCTGCTGTGGGAAGGTGCTGGTGAGGGAGGGGGCTAGGAGACCTGGGGATCTGCCCAGTTCCCAACAGAGGAGGAAGGGGAGACTTGCGGGGTCTGGGGAGCCCACTGAAGTCAACTTGCAGCCCTGACAAATCCAAGAGAGGCTTCTTGGCCTTCTTGCTTTAAATCTTGGATTTATTAATTGCAAACAAAATAGGTGCCTGTTTGAAAATCTTTACAAGTCAATCACAAACTTAATAGTAAGTCACTCCTATGGAAGACCAGAGGCCTCTGCAAAGTCTACCCCTCCACACCCTCTGGGTTCTGTGGCATGTGAAGGTGTGGAGAAAAAACCTGTTTCTCCTCTGCTTTCACACCATAACAATCAACAGAAAAGACTTCTGTGGCAAAACATGTGGGGGTTTCTCCCCAATAACAAGCAAGCAGTCAGTTCTGCAGCGGACACCAGGTGGACGTCTTCTAGTGGCATTCAAGTCTGATGCTACCGTGTCAGATCCCACAGGTTGAGGGCTCAGTTCCATGACTGCCCCCCACTTCTGATCATCGCAATTCCTAGCTTGCGACCTGCGCTTCTGACAGACTGGCTACAAATCACTATCTTGGGAGCGGATTCCTTGTAAGAGGATTAGCTAGTCTTTTGTGGGTGCCTCTCCCCGCGGCCCTTCCACCATGGGATGACACAGCAAGAAGGCCCTTGCCAGATGCTGGCAGTGCCTTGATCCTGGACTTCCCAAGCACCACAGTTTTGATGACTGATGGTGAGGCTTAATGGGAGTTGTTTGGGACATGGGAGGTGGATTCCTCATGAATAGATAAATGCCCTCCCTGGGGTGGAGGAGAAGCGAGTGACTTCTCACTCTGTTAGTCCCCGCATCCTTGCTGGTTGTCAGAAAGAGCCCAGCGCTTCCCCTCCCCTTCTCACCCCCTCTCTCGCCATGTGATCTCTGCACAGAGACCCCCCGTGCCTTCCACCATGAATGGAAGCAGCCTGAGGCCCTCAACAGAAGCAGATGTTGGCACCGTGCCATCCTATAAAGCCTGCAGAACCAGGAACCAAATACTCTCTTTTCTTTATAAATTACTCAGCCTCAGGTAATTTATAGCAACACAAATAGACTAAGACACCAGCCTCCAGAACTGTAAGGAGATAAATTCCTCTTCTTTATGAATGACCCAGTCTCAGGTATTCTGTTAGAGAAGCACAATGGACTAATACTACATCAAGACTTGACAAGTGGTAGGTTTTTTTTTTTTTTAGACAGAGTCTCGCTCTATCACCAGGCTGGAGTGCAGTGGCGCAATCTTGGCTCACTGCAGCCTCCGCCTCCCGGGTTCAAGCGATTCTCCTGCCTCAGCCTCCTGAGGAGCTGGGACTACAGGCATGCCACCCATCTAATTTTTGTATTTTTAGTAGAGATGGGGTTTCACCATGTTGACCAGGATGGTCTCAATCTCTTGACCTCGTCATCTGCCCGCCTCGGCCTCCCAAAGTGCTGGGATTACAGGTGTGAGCCACCGCACTTGACCGACAAGTGGTAGTTTCTTAAGGGTTAGTTGCCACAGGAATTGGAAGCCTTAACAATGGTTTTTTTCTAATGTGTTACATTAGAAGTCATTGGTGTACCTTGCATTTGGAATGGGTCTTTTACATAGACATGATTTCTTAACATCATGTGTGGGTCACCTGAAAATACGGGTTCCTGTAATGCAGATCTACCAATGTTGACACATCTCATTGAACAATATATATTTTTTTAAATCACATTGCTGGTATCACTACCAATGTCATTAAAGTCACTAAATATTGTTAACGCTAATCATCATTTGAAAGCTTGAATTTCATCACTGGCAACAAAGCACTAACAAATATAGAAACAGCAACATATACAAAAATAAAAGGTCAGTTGTTTCCCTTGAAGTAGCAAGTTCACTTTGCTCATTTTCAAGAAAGTGTATGCTAAATATCCAAATCTGAATAACCACGGTGTGTGCCAGTTGTTCTTTAAGTGAAGATGGAGTCCATGAAAAAGGCAGCTAGTTCGGCCCACACTTCAAATGAATGCACGTGTGCTTTTCCTCACGACAGCATCAAACTCCATTTGACATACTTCATGTGTGCCTCATTTCGTCACAAAGGATCTTAAAAAGCTGTGGACTCATGGGTCAGGACTTAATAAAGTTGATTTTTACTGCTTTTTCTGATGCAACACTGGTGTGTGTGTGTGTGTGTGTGTACTGTGTGTGTGGTGGTGAAGACTCAATTACAACAAGACCAGCACAGTGTGGTGCCAGTCTTGAGTCAGTGCAGGCCCCACAGCTTGTTTCCGCACTGCTCCTACACCATCAATGTGAAAGCCATCACAAACAAAGAGGCATGGTAACAAATCATGGCCGTGTTATTATTAAAACAGTTCTGATCCTAGCCCCCCGAGTGGTCTCAGGAAGCCCCCAGGAGACTGCAGATCACATTTCAAGAACTGCTGTGCTAGAGGAACCCCCACTAGAAGTTAAGGGGTGCGTATCAGCCAAGTGCAGGGCTGGGACAGGACTTCACAACCAGAAGGATCAAGAGTGGCCTGCAAGTCTTGGAGTCGCTCCTGGGGAGGCCCTGAGTTTGTTGTTCTGGCAAGGCCCCACCCCAGGGATGTGCTTGCCACCCGGTGGAAGGCTTTAAATGAAACAAGCAGTCAAGAACATGGGCTCTGGGCCAGGTGTGGTGGCTCAGGCCTGTAATTCCAGCACTCGGGGAGGCCGAGACGGGAGGATTACTTGAGCCCAGGAGTTCGAAACCAGCCTGGACAACATGGCAAGACGTCATCAATATTAAAAAAAAAAAAAAAAAAAAAAGGCGGGGGGGCCCGCTCTGCATCAGCTTAATTCAAACCCAGACCCCCAAGACCCACCACTTTCCAGCTGAGCGAGCTGAGCCTCGGTTTCTTCCTCTGTAAACAGAGATGATCATGCCTACCTCTCAGGGTGGGAGTGAGGTTGAAGAGAGACTGTGTGTGAAACGCCTGCAGCAGAAACGCTGGGCCTAGCACACAATGACGCTAAATAAATGGAAACTGCTATTATTATGCTTTATTAGGCAACTTCCAACAGGGAGGAAAACAACAGGTATTGACGCCTCTGCCATGGAGTGCCTTCTGATTCCCAACGAGGGGTCCTGGTGCATGTTCACTAATATGACTACAAGGGGATGCCTCTACCGGATTCTGGAGGGACTTGCAATCAAAACCCTCCCTAAGAACTCAGCTCAGCAGCGTTCCCTCACAGCACAGCTCAGCTGGGCCACCTGCTCCACGGTAACCCGAGACAACTCTTTGAGAAGGCAGAGACACTAGCAGTCCTCCAAGGGCCATCTCTCCTGGTGGGCTGTGGAAATGCCAGGGGCCTGCCTGGGAGTGCCCAAGGTTGGCAATGCCCCTGGAAGGATGCTCCACCAATACACCCTGGTGGCAGGGGCTCTGCAGCAGCTGCTGCCCAGACACATTTCTCAGAGCTGGGCTGGCTTGGTGCTGCATCCCCAGGAGGTGCTTACCCACGTGGCAGCCATGGCGTCAGGACGCCAGCTGGCCTCAGAGGGGCTCCTCTGTCCCCAGGAGGCAGGTCCCAGGCATCCAGCCAGGAACAGGGCTTTCTGCTTTGCTGGGAAAACTGAAAGGCCGATTTCTGCCTTGCCTGCAGCTTCCATGTGCTGAATAAAGGAGGTGCCCACTGCTCCATGAGGGGCAGAGCCGAGGTAAAAGACAAACACTCTCTGTGCTTCTTGGGTCTGAAAAGAGAATGGCAAGGCCCAAACCAGGTCTGGAGGAAAAGGCCAAAGCAAGAAGTGAGCCAGAAGCAAGCAGGAGCTCACGTGGGCCTCAGGGAAGATGCTCTCAGTCCAGATAGCAGCACCCTGCAGGGACAGGGCAGCGGGAAAAGGAGAGCACAGAATCCCCACCAAGGGTGCAGGCCTGAAGGGGACCCTTCCAGGGAGGCTTGGCCCACACTAGGCCTTTCCATCCTGTGACATCTCCATCCAACACACAGACGGATTAGTTCAAACCCACCTTGGAGGGCGGTGTGAGAATTAAGTAAGGCATGGATATAAAAACTTACTGAACCACTGTAACGGGCCATGCAGCGTGAGGGTCATTAGGAGGGGGACTGTTACTTGCAAGGGATGGCCGCTGACCACGTAGCTGTTCCGCCTATTCTCCCAAGCACCCCAGGGCTGGGCTGAAGCACAGTCTGTGAGGTGACCACGTAACAGAGGCCCTCTAAGGGGAGGGCGGGGGATGGTGCTTCCTTCTGATAGTTACTCAGCACATCCTCCGTGCCAGATACAGGCTGGGGATTAAAGACACGTCCCTGGCTGGGCGCAGTGGCTCACGCCTGTAATCCCAGCACTTTGGGAGGCTGAGGAGGGCGGATTACGAGGTCCAGAGATCGAGACCATCCTGGCCAACACGGTGAAACCCCGTCTCTACTAAAAATACAAAGATTAGCTGGGCGTGGTGGCACGTGCCTGTAATCCCAGCTACTTAGGAGGCTGAGGTAGGAGAATCACTTGAACCCAGGAGGCGGAGGTTGTAGTGAGCCAAGATCGCGCCACTGCACTCTAACCTGGCGACAGAGCGGGACTCCATCTCAAAGAAAGAAAAAAAAAGACATGTCCCTGCCTTCCAGAAGCTTACGGTCAAGTGAAGAGGATGAGCGTTAAATAATCACCCCCCTCGCCAAAAAACCACAAACACAATTACATCTGTGACCAGTGGTATCGAGAAAGTCCAGGGCACAGTAGAAGGACAGCAAGATCGCCGTTCTGGAGCTCTAACACCATCTCTTCAAGCAAACCTGGGAGGAGGTGGCGGAAGAGTTAATGAGACCAGCAGGCAAAGGGAGGGATGGGGACAGCAGAGGGAACAGTGAGTACACAAGGCCTAAGGAAGGAGGGATGTGCCCCTGAGGGTGGCCAGATGGCAGCCTGGGGCCCTCACAGCGACCCAGCCACAGGGTTTGTTCCAGAGCTCAAATACCTCAGATCTCCAGGACAAGGATGACAAGGCCAGCTGGACAGTGTCCCAGGCCCTTCTCCTCAGGCTTTAGGCTTCCCCAGGAGACCTCCGGCACCATTCAGCCTTGTTGCATTGTGGCACTTGGAAACAAAGACAGCGGTCTTCTTTGCTTGACTGTCAATAGAATATTGGGAGAGCACAGGTCTCCCTGGGACCCTGCCTCGCCGCTGATGGCCTGCAGCCCTAGACAAATTCCTCAACCTCTCTGAGCCTCAGTTTCCCCACGTGCAAAATGAGGTTCTTGGAAGGCTGAACAAAATCCCACATGTAGATGTCCAGGCTGTATTGCTGGAGACGCCTTCCATGAATTACTACGCAGATACCACCACCCATACAGAGCTGTGCTGTGCTCCTCCACATCACACTGCAAAGGAAGAAGGCAGAATAACAAGATCTCAAACAGCAATGTTCCGCCTAATGAAGTACAGACTGGAGATTGCCAGCTGCACCCAAATCCACTCTCTCCCCCATTCTTGAATACAGAACTCCACTTTCACTCAGGGCAAGTCCATCAACCAAGAGGGTCCCCGAGCTTTCTTAGAGTGACAAAGCTTTGGCTAATGAGCTGTAAGCAGAAGTGTCCAGACCATAAGAAGGCATTCAGGGCAAGCCGACTCAGCCCGGAGCCAGGCCCTTCATCTTTCCTGCCTTCCTCCCATCTACCACCTGGAAGATAGATGCCATGGCTCCAGTAGCTGTGCTTCACCATGAGGGCCTTGGGATGGAGGCCAGTGCCTAGGACAGCCATGGGACACCACACCAGCAACTAACTGACCACCTCCCACATCTTCCACATGAGTAATAAAACTTGGTTTACTGGTTAATTATTGGTAAATTATTTTCAGGTTAAGTATTAACAAGTGTCATTACAAATATACAGCACAGACAGGTGCAGTGGCTCACACCTGTAATTCCAGCACTTTGGATGCCAAGGTGGGAGGACTGCTTAAAGCTAGGAGTTCAAGACCAGCCTGGGCAACATAACAAGATCCCATCTCTACAAAAAAATAAAATTAGCCAGGTATGGTGATAGACACCTGTGGTCCCAGCTACTTGGGAGGCTGAGGCGGGAGGATTGTTCTAGCCCAGGGATTCTAGGCTACAAAGAGCTATGTCACGCCAATGCACTCTAGCCTGGGCAACAGAGTGAGACTCTATCCCCCCTCCACCACAAAAATATATCTCTACAGTTCCTTAGGTCTGAAGGAACACAAGTTCTCTTCAAGTGATCCATGATCAAAAGGATCATGGCTTTCTTTAGGTCACATGACACAGCCTCAGCCAGTACAGAGGCCAAGGCATGGGGAATACTCCCTGGCGGGAAGGCTGGAGCAGATGCTTCCGTAGTTAAAACAGGCCCCGAGAGAAGTGCAGCTGGTTGCCTTGGAGCGAGGACACATTCTTCTGCAACTCCAGTGCTCATTTCAGCATGAGCACTGGCTCAAGGAGGAGCTGAGGAGGACGATGGCGTGCAGTGAACGTTAATAGAGCATGCACTGTTTGGATGCAGGTGCCCAGCACAGGGACATGAAGGAAGTGCTCCAAGTGAGGAGGTGCTCAAAAGGGAGCCCCTGCTGTGAGACTGCTCCTGGGCCCCAAACCCTCTCCACTCCCCTCTCCACCATGCCCTATCCAAACCTGGGGCTAATCCAGCCACCCAAGTCCATGTGGGACCAGGCCAGGATTCCCTGTGGCCTTTCGCAGCTGACCAGAGGGACCCTATTCCCAACGCTGGGTGATGAGCAGGAAAGAGGAGGCCCTCCACAAAGGTCCACTCAGTTGCAGAGCAGCCTCTAGTGAGGCTGAGCCCTCCCAAGACTCAGGGAGGTTGCCAATGTGTCCCCTTCTCTGGGACCGTTGTCCTCGGCTGCCAAGTTCTAGCACAGGCAGGCCTGGAAAATCCTGAACATGGCCCATTTCCCATTGTCCTGATGGAGGCAGGACGAGACAGTCCCTCCCTCAGATAACATCGCGGGTGGCTCTGAACCATTTATTTATTTTTACACTTGAAGATGGGTGTATCTGATGCCTTGGGAATTCTAAACACTTCAAAACAAGCTCAACTTAAGTCACAGAAAGGACCAGAAAACAGATCTGGTTTTCCCATCTGCCAGCTCTCCTCCCACCCAACCCTACATGCTCCTCCTCGACCATGATGAGTCTCAGCGGAAATAAGACACCAGCCTAGCCAGGCACGGTGGCTCATGCCTGTAATTACGGCACTTTGGGAGGCAGAGGTGGGCGGATCACGAGGGCAGAAGTTCAAGACCAGGCTGGCCAACATGGTGAAACTCTGTTTGTACAAAAAATACAAAAATTAGCTGGGCATGATGGCATCCGCCTGTAATCCCAGCTACTCGGGAGGCTGAGGCAGGAGAATTACTTGAACCCAGGAGGCGGAGGTTGCAGTGAGCCGAGATCACACCGTCGCACTCCAGCCCGGGCAATAGTCTGAGAATCTGTCTCAAAATATAAAAAATAGCTGGTCACGGTGGCTCACACCTGTAATCCCAGCACTTTGGGAGGCCAAGGCAGGCGGATCACAGATCAGGAGATTGAGGCCATCCTGGCTAACATGGTGAAAACCTGTCTCTACTAAAAATACAAAAAAATTAGCCAGGCATGATGGCGGGCGCCTGCAGTCCCATCTACTCAGGAGGCTGAGGCAGGAGAATGGTGCAAACCCGGGAGGCGGAGCTTGCAGTGAGCTGAGATCGCGCCACTACACTCCAGCCTGGGCAACAGAGTGAGACTCCATCTCAAAAAAAAAAAGATAAATAAAAATAAAATAAAAAATAAAATAAAAATAAAATTAAAAATAAAATAAAAAAGACATCAGCCCAACCCCATGGCCCCAAACACCACTGCGCCCTCCAACAGAAGCATGAGCCCTGTGTCGCAGGCAGAGCTGCAGGGGCAGAATCTTGCACCGAGTGGGGCACAGGCATCAGGCCCCACGCCCACCACCCTGCCCTGCCACCTGACTCTCCAGTCTCAGATTTTTTTTCATCTGTGATATGGCGGTAGGAGCAGCCCCTTATCAAGAATTGTGATGAGTCACGGGAGAGGCCATGGGTGAAGAGCACACCACTGAAGGCCTGCCACAGGAGCCTGAGAGAGGAAGTACACGAGAAAAAAGAAGACACTGTTACTTTTTTTTTTTTTTTTAGACGGAGTCTCGCACTGTCGCCCAGGCTGGAGTGCAGTGGCGGGATCTTGGCTCACTGCAAGCTCCGCCTCCTGGGTTCACACCATTCTCCTGCCTCAGCCTCCCGAGTAGCTGGGACTACAGGCGCCCGCCAACACGCCTGGGTAATTTTTTGTATTTTTAGTAGAGACGGGGTTTCACCGTGTTAGCCAGGGTGGTCTTGATCTCATGATCTCGTGATCCACCTGCCTCGGCCTCCCAAAGTGCTGCGATTACAGGCAAGTGCCACCGCACCCGGTGACACTGTTGCTCTTAAGCAGAAGCAAAATCAAAAGGCAGACAGGACTCAAAGAATGGTTCTAAACCTAAAAGTACTAAGGCCTCTAGGAACTATGATGATGACAATTACTGTGCAATTTATATCATGCTGAATTTTAGTAAAACCTCCTGGCAAACCACTCTCACTTGGTGACACTCCGTCCACAGCACGGGGCCACAGCATAGTGGATCAGTACAACTTTCCTGGACAGCCTTGCTACCTGTACACTCTTATGGACTCAATTCCACTTCAATGTATTCGTTCTAGAGGTAAATGGACATGTGAACACAGATTCACAGGCAAAGATGTTTATATGCACCACTGTCTTGATGTTCAAGAAAATGGAACTGGTTACATGCATGTGATTAGCTATATAATGTAACTGTATTCAGCCCCTAAAAAATGATATAGTTTTGTTTTTGTTTTTTGAGATGGAGTCTCGCTCTTGTTGCCCAGGCTGGAATGCAATGGTGCAGTCTAGGCTCACTGCGACCTCCGCCTCCCGGGTTCAAGTAATTCTTCTGCCTCAGCCTCCTGAATAACAAGGATTACACGCACCCGCCACTAAGCCTGGCTAATTTTTGTATTTTAGTAGAGATGGGGTTTCACCATGTTGGCCAGGCTGGTGTCGAACTCTTGACCTCAGGTGATTTTGCCCACCTTGGCCTCTCAAAGTGCTGGAATTACAAGCATGAGCCACCATGCCTGGCCAATGATATAGATTTTTATTGACATAGAAAAATGGTTTTAATATAGCAGTGAGTGAAGAATAAAAAAGCAGTAGCACAGTGTGATTCTTCTTTAGATGTATTTACATACGTAACACATTTTTTGTCTTTGTTTTTTCCTTTTTGTGGAGAACAGCGTCCTGATATATTGCCCAGGCAGGTCTCGAACTCCTGAGCTCAAGCTATCCTCCAGCCTCTGCCTCGCTAAGAGCTGGGATTACAGGCGTGAGCCACTGCACTCTTCCATAACACATATTAACAGTTTTTCTGGGCAGTAGGAGTTTAGGGGATTTGTTTATATGTAAGTACACATACAGAAACGTTCTACTGATGTGGAGTTTCTAGTTTTTTAATGGTAGGCAGCACCTTTACATGACTCCTTCCTCAAAATGCTCATTATAAGTCAGACACAGTGGCTCACGCCTATAATCCCAGTTACTTGGGGGGCTGAAGAGGGAGGAACACTCAACCCAGGAGGTGGAGGCTGCAGTAAGCCATGATTGCACCGCTGCACTCTAGCATGGACAACAGTGGGGAAGAACCCTGTCTCAAAAAAAAAAAAAAAAAAAAAAAGGCTGGCCGCGGTGGCTCACACCTATAATCCCAGCACTTTGGGAGGCTGAGGCACGCAGATCACCTGAGGTCAGGAGTTCGAGACCAGCCTGGCCAACATGGTGAAACCCCATCTCTACTAAAAATACAAAAATTAGCCAGGCGTGGTGGCGCATGCCTGTAATTCCAGCTACTTGGGAGGCTGAGGCAAAAGAATTACTTGAACCCAGGAGGCAGAGGTTGCAGTAAGCTGAGGTCGCATCATTGTACTCCAGGCCGGGCAACAAGAGCGAAACTCCATCTCAAAAAAATATATATATACTACTCCTCATACTCCTCAATCCAGAAACACACCTCAGACTATAATCTAATTTCACCTACAGGAGAAAATGCTCTGCAGAGCAAGCCAGAGGCCTGGACTGGTTAGTGGCCTCCTCTCCAAAGCCAGCCCCTTATGGCCATAGGTCTCCCATGAGTTTGGTCAAATGAGTCAGTTCTGCCAGATCACCTCCCGGTACTCCAGGCAAATGGAAAGTTTAGATCTGTAAAGTTGGAATGTAATGACCTCACAGTCCTGCTAGCCTAGGAGACCCCGCCAGGAGACCCAGCAGGAGGTCACCTGACCAAAGAGGGCTGGTAAGAAAGTCCCCGTTGGATGCATAATAAAAACGAGTGATAGAGCCCATGCTGAGGACACAGCCCCGGCCTCCCAACTCGCCCAGTGATCTCGCCAGGACTCTGAACTACCTCCCAGGCAGAACGCTGCTCAAGAGCTTGTTCCTGCATGCTCTCCTGCTAGCAGAGAAAATGAAGGAAGCACAGACAGGAGGGGAAATGCAGAGCAAAAGGAAAAAATCAGACACAGCTCAACCACAAGTGAATAAACAAGTCATCTGCACCTGTCCCACAGGCAGGCCTTGGTAACTACAAGGCTGACTAATTTTAGAAACAGCATGAACCTAAAGAACCATCATTTAAGTGCTCAAAATGGAGCCCTTAAAAAAAATCCTTCTGTCTGCCTGTACTGAGCAGACACAAAATGGACAGTCTTGGGTTGACTCTATTCAACCAGCTGTCTGTTGGATGAGATCAAGACACACCACTGCAACCTACAAAAAAGCACCAGGCCGTTAAGTGCAGTCAAGACACGTGGCCACTCACGGCCACCCAGGTGGAAGAGTCTTAATTCAGACACAAATGTCTCCTGGCCGTCCTTAGCCAGGGAGCTGGGCTCTGCCCGCGGCCAGGTCTTGCCTGAGTCCCCCTATTCCGTGGGTCGGGGTGGGATGTGGAAAAGCAAACCTCTAGGCTTTCTTCCTCCAAATGTGTCAGTCACCATACATACCTGTACACAGAAGCTCCCCCTCCAGCAATTTTCCCTCAGAACAGTGAGGACAGTGGCTCATCCCTGCGACATTTAGATCTCTCATGTTACAGGGCATTCTTTCAATTATTTTGAAGACATTTCTGATGGGTGAAGAAAGCGCTCTAGGAACTGAGAGTGGGAATCTAATTTGTATTTTACACTACATTAGATGCAACAGTATATAGCATATGGAAATTAGTTAACTGAGTTTCTATCACTCTTAGTTGGCATCTGACCCTAAGAATTCACTTACATTGGTTGGGTGTGAAACAAACTGAATTAGTAGTTTACACTGCATTATATGAAACAGTATATAGACTGGGTGCAGTGGCTCACGCCTGTAATCCCAGCACTTTGGGAGGCTGAGGCAGTCGGATCACTTGAGGTCGGGAGTTCGAAACCAGCCCGACCAACATGGAGAAACCCCATCTCTACTAGAAATACAAAATTAGCCGGGCGTGGTGGCACATGCCTGTAATCCCA